>NC_000004.12:111497138-111648653 GCF_000001405.40 Homo sapiens | reverse complement strand
TCCTTTTATCTTTGTAAGGTGAATAAATTGTTTTCTATGCAATATTCAATCTGTAGATCTTTTCTATTGAGACGCAAATCTTCTTTTGCTCTTTGCAGCTATATTTTTCAAATCTTATGATATTTTCCAGAAGGGTAGAGCTTCGAATATATCAATGGACTCAAATGTTAAGAATCTAAATGAAAATCAGGAAAATCAAGATCTTTGCCAGTCTCATTGGTTCATTGTTTGAGGGGATATTTTCTTAATATACTGCCTTGAATTCATAAAGTCCTTTATATTTCTAAAATAAGTTTTAGATTAATCATCTCATGAGACTTTTTCCTTGTGGCAAGGACGTAACCACTTCTGCCAACTATTACGTACAAAGAAGGAAAACCCATTGTTTATGAGAGTCACACGACATAACTCCAGTCACACGAAGGATTAGGAGAGAATCACAACCAGGACCCGTATCCTGAATACTAGTTTCTTGTATTCAGATCTCCACTCTTATCCCTAGCCTAGGGGTAAAAATATAAAAGAACAAAAAAGGAATAATAGTAGTAAGAAATGACAGTGGAGAAGCATCCTTGTATCTTAGCCTTAGAATAAATAAACTGGTTTTTGAAAATGGAAATGTTTTGTTAATAAATAAAAAAAATTTTAAGATAAGAAATAATAATATAAAGAAGTTCGTAATGCAATGTTTTTCAGTGATACTCTCACAAACAATTATTCTTCAGACCTATGTTTCTCTTTTTCAGTTTCCTTTTCCTTCTTCTTACCCCTTCCCATTCCTTCCCCGTTTTCTTGCCTTCTTACTTTTTTTTTTTTTTTTTTTTTTTTCCCCAAGACAGTCTTGCTCTGTCACCCAGGCTGGAGTGCCTGGTGTGTTTTTAGTAGAAACAGGGTTTCACCATGGTGGCCAGGCTGGTCTCAAACTCCTGACCTCATGATCTGCCTGCCTTGGCCTCCCAAAATGCTGGGATTACTGGTGTGAGCCACTGCTCCCGGCCTCCTTCTTACTTTTTCATAATATATATATGATGTGAAGTTGGTCAAGGCAAAGTTTCAAATTGCTATTTTGATTGAGAATTAATACATTTTTAAGCCAAAATGAGGATTATTGGATCAACTTTTTACTTAACGCTATATCTTGTCAAAAAGGAATCAAGAAAGATTGTTTTTTCTCTCTCTTATGTAACATTCCATAATGTCAGCAATAAGTTCAATAACCATTAGCGATTATTAGAGGATCATTCAAGAAGAAATTGACAAGTACCTAATAATTTTCCTGGGTAGCAAACTCTGTCTTCCTGTTTTGCCCTCTGGGCTGAAATAAAAGATTTTTCAAGTTCCAGACAAATGAAATAAGTAGAAAATGTCTATACTTTATTCTTGTAGACTGCAGCATGTTCCAAGGCCTCAATATCTAATTACACTTACTAGAGAGTTTTGAAATAAAGAGATAACCCCTTTGGCTATTAGGTGTTTTAAAAATTATGGGAAGAATCCCAGAGAAATTTTCCTCCCTCCTGACACACTCTCCTTCTCCTCCCCGCCCAAGCCCATTACATCTATTAATCACAGAAGCCATATTAATCCGTGTATGTACATTTCCTCATGGTATCCAAAAATCCTTGGGTTAATTTGAGTATGGGAGGGAATGTAATCGCATAGAGTTATTTTGTTGATATTGCTGTGTCTGCTGATACTCACATCAGCGATGAAGCAGGCTTGGGTGCTTTACTTATATGAATACATTAGCAGGGATAAATTTAATAAAGCAATAAGCATAATATTTGGCAAATATGATATTTGGGACAACCTCTTTACCTCTCTCAGCAGAAAGGACTAAGTGATTTTTCATAATTTACTGACCACATCTGGATGATTCTATTCATCACATGCAGAGTGGGGATTTTAAATTACACAAGGTAGGCATACATTTTGAGTTTAGATAGAAAGCTCCATGTCAGGACTCAAAGATTCATAGACTTAAAGAATCTCATGTTTGGGATGTTCTACCTCAGCCTGCTCTTTAATGCTTAAATCAACTCAAATTCCAACAGCTATCATCTGCCGGCTCTGTAATATGTGTCTTAGGCACATGCTCACATTTAGTGTTCCTATGAGGCATGGATTGTTGGCAAAGAAATTGCAGCCCTCGGAGGTTAAATAATTTGCCCAAAAATATGCAATTAGCTTTGTATATAGTAAGTGGTGGATTCAAGATTTGAACTTCTACCTGTATGACTTTATAACTGATGTTCTTTAAATTGCCACCAGGTTATCTAAGGCCATAACACAACTTACACAGAAGAATTCGAGAACACTGTGTTTTTGGTTAGCCAAATTCAGATATTGCATTAATCTGGTCCCTGACTATAGCTGAGAGCATTTTTTGTTTTGACATCCGCAACTGTCAAGGCCAAACCTCTATAAATACTCTCTTCTACAGATAGATGACACTGATGAGGCTAGAACTTATTTCTGAATATATGTATTTGTGTATATATACACAAAAACACACAAAAATATTTGTAGATCTAAATGCACATTTCTTTCTCCCACTAAAGAAGGGGAATGAGCGGGTGGATCACGAGGTCAGGAGATCGAGACCACCCTGGCTAACACAGTGAAACCCCATCTCTACTAAAAATACAAAAAATTAGCCGGGCATGGTGGTGGGCACCTGTAGTCCCAGCTACTCGGGAGGCTGAGGCAGGAGAATGGTGTGAACCTGGGAGGCGGAGCTTGCAGTGAGCTGAGACCACGCCACTGCACTCCAGCCTGGGCGACAGAGCAAGACTCTGTCTCAAAAAAAAAAAAAAAAAAAAAAAAAGAAGGAATGATTTCCACATAAGGTAATATTATCTGAATAAGGAAAAATATCAAATTATTTTTAAAAATATGGACAACTGAAGACATAGCATGTATCTCTCTCATCAAATAAAGAAAAAAATCATTCTTTGGAAATACCCCCTAATTAGTCTTTACCTGTTGCTGGTCGTCCATAGGCCTCTACTCCCATACTGCCCAAAGTAGTATGTTCTGCCAATTACTTTGAACTTCAGTTTCTTCACCAATACAATGGAACAAGAACAAATTCTACGTCTGAAAAATTTTTTAAAAAGTTTGTATTAATATATGGATTTTTTAATTACACTGCAAATCTTGGTTCTTCCAATTTTAAAACATATTTAATATTTATTGAGTGAGCATTGCTAAATGCTGAAAACTATTTTAAGCATTTTACATGTCAACCTCACTTGACCCTTATAATAACTTTATCAAATATATACTGTTTCTACCTTTAATGTATAGATGAGGAAGCTGTTATAGGGAGAAATTAAATACTTTCTTATGCTCATAGAACTAGTAAGTGAGGGATCCAGGATTCAAGACTGAGCAATCAGAAGCTAGAGAAAAAACTAAAGAGGTAAGCAGGAATTAGAATGTCGGTTTCATGAAAAGTCATTTGCAAAAATATTAGTGGTCTCTCCACTTTGCACTAGCCTTGGGGGAAGATTTCAAAGCAGAAATATTACTGAAAAGAAAAAAAAATAGTTTTGGAAAGAGTTAACCTGACTAGAACTATCCAGGTCTTTCCCCTAATGGGCTGTTTCTCTCAAGTAGACTGTGGAGTTTTCCACCTTGCCCTACCTCCAAGTCCCAAGGAAAAAAACTACATGACTCACGACAGTGCAAGAGGAAAAGAGTGGCTTTATTTTCAGATTCCAGATGAAGTTTATGATGTTGTCAGAAAGAAAGCCATTTGACTTATAGCCTCAGTAGTCTCAGTATAGATTCTTTTTTGAGACATACACTAGCTGTGGAATGCTACAGCATGAATTAGGTTTTACTATAATTTATTTACTGTGTTTTATAATTCAGAAGTTTTGAGATTAAAACTTCAATAATAGGCACTTCTTAAAAATAATTATGATGATGAAATCATAATAGAGCAAGAGCTCTAGAGTCAGACTTGGGCTTGAATACTAGTTTAGGTTATTCAACGTGGCCATTTTAAAAAAAAATTTGTACTTTAGTTGTCTTATCTGGAAAAAATGGGGTAATAATGGCCTTCAGGATTGTTTGGGGGTTAAATTAATTAATAAAACTAAAGCATTTAAACTGCTCAGAACATAGGAGGTAATTCAAATTAGCTCATAAATTTCTGATTTTTGTGTGTTTTTTTTGTTTTTGTTTTTGTTTTCTTTTTTTTTTTGATAAGGAGTTTTGCTCTTGTTGCCCAGGCTGGAGTGCAGTGGCGCAATCTTGGCTCACTGCAACCTCTGCCTCCTGGGTTCAGGCGATTCTCCTGCCTCAGCCTCCCAAGTAGCTGGGATTACAGGCATTAACTACCATGCCCAGCTAATTTTTTTTTTTTTTTTTTTTTTTTTTTTTTTTTTTTTTTTTAGTAGAAACGGGGTTTCACCATGTTGGTCAGGCTGGTCTTGAACTCCTGACCTCATGTGATCCACTCGTCTCAGCCTCCTAAAGTGCTGAGATTACAGGCATGAGCCACTGCTCCCGGCCAACCTCAAAAATTTTCTTTGGTTGATGCTAGGTTGGATGAAGATGAACACTGGCTTCTCTCCCTCTTTTTAAAAATGTATGGTGACTATGCTGAAATTTTTCCCATTAACTGGTCACAACTGCTGTGTTTGGTTACAATTGTGTGTTGTATATGCCACTCCTTTGAATTTAATATAAGATTCATTCTTTAGATAGTTCCTTTTGTTACATAAAACGATACTTCTTTCAAGGTGTGGAACTTTTTCAAATGATATATTCAAAATCAAATTAATTATTTTCTAATGGAATTAACTGTAATGGACACTTCTGTAAAATAAATTCTTTCCCCACTCCTTTCAGTTGTAATGTTTGGATGTGGAAGATTTGGAAAGCAAACTCTAGTGTCAGAATGAGTTTTATCCTTGCTTACTCACAGTTAATTTGTCCTTGGCAAATTAACCATGGTTACCAAATTTTAATTCCTCATCTTTATACATACTATTTAATGTACATCAAAAATAAGTCTTCAATTAAAGTGGATTGTGTGATATTATTATATAATTTTATGTATTTTGCATTAATTCTTAGTTTATTGGTATTTTAACTGTTAGAAAAAGCTAAGGGTAATAAGAGGAATATAGTAATTAGATTAAATTTCTGCCCTATAATTTACAATATAAGAATCATGAAGTTTGTGAAGTATTATAAAATAAGTAGACTTTTAAATATAAATTTCAAAAATTTATAATTTATATTCTTAATATAAATTTCACAAAGCACAGAGTAATGTATGCCTAGACAAGCTCTTCTTTCTGAAATTTGAAAGAAATGTCATAAATTTAGGCTAAAAATGCTTAATACCAAAATGACCAGTCCAGTCAAAACTGGAAGCAAAATATCACATAAATTATTTGCTGCTAAATATCTGGTTTATTTCATATAAACTGATCATTTTAATAGTCATAAGATCATCATAAAATATTAATGAAGAACATTATTTTTCAAGATTATTATAGTTTTAAATCAAAGTACACTAATACTTTCCTACATGGTATTTAAACGTAACAGACAGAATTAACTGACAAGCGGTTGGCAAAAGTGGACTTATTTGCAAACGATTACACATCCAACACAATATTATAAAAAGTATCTAGAAATTTGTTGGTTCTCAGTGCAAATTACAATTGATAATTTCTTATTTATAATTAGTAATTATATATTTACAGTGAAATTTAAAGTAATTTTATTACCAATCACTCAAATAAAAGATACGTACTTTCGAATGGTTCTTCAAAGGAATTGAAAAGCAAGTAGAAATTGAAATAATATTCAGTAATGGGATTATTGCTGAACTATCACAAGGAAAATACAGTTTTTAACTGTGTCAGTCAGTACAACCCTTGATTTAGAACTCTCTTAAATGAATTATTTCACTCACTGCAAAATTATTTCACATTACAATGCTACACTTATATTATTGTCACATGAATGGCATGGTTTGTACAGTTCATATTAGGATTCTAAATATATAGGAGTTATATAGTCATGGAGAGAAACTAATGTGACAATTCAGAATGATAGAAATTTTGGAAAAGTGGAATTTCCACAGAAATTTGATTTCTCAACCCCAAACTTCATGTAAGAAATGTAAGGCCTATATTTATTTTTAAAATCAAAAGTAATTAAAATCAATTTTATTTTGAACATACTGCTACACCCCTTATGATGACTGGTAGTAAAGTATGCTGTGATCAAGTTTGGAATTCAGTGCTTACCAATTTCTTTTTGAAATCAAAACTCTTTACCAGTGACTCCAGTAGAGGGCACCATGCGTAACTTCGCACCCTGAAAAGTCTCTGTTCTGCCTGCCTTCGGTTTTCTTAAGTCATGCAGGGGCTCCCTCTGCTGTCCTTTTAGACCAGAAAACAGATGTGAATGCGTTGACCCCAAATGTCACAATTGTTGTGCAATTACATTCTAAATATTATTGCATAATATTGCAGCTCCAGATCTATTTAACTTCACTACCCACAAGATTACAAGAAAAGATAGCAAACAAGTTGAGCAAGACTTAAATGCTTCTATAGGTAGTTTCTAACAAATGTTACTTCTACAATGACCAGGTAGGCAAATAAAATCAAATAGTACCTGCGCATTGTACAGTAATAGGCGAGAATGACACATAGCTATTGAAACTGTAAACAATGGTGATTAGTTTAAAGAATCAAAATACTTGGGATGTGAGTGCATGTGTTTTTGTGCGTGTGGGTGTGCGTGTGAGTGTGTGTACGCTAGATGGGAAAGAGGGAAGGAAGAGGAAGACACTACTTGCTTGGCTCCTACAACTATCTTTGATCCAAGTTATTTTCATTATACTTTTTTTACTTCATTTTAAGTGAAGACAGAGAATAGGTTTTGGCAAACTCTTAAGAGTTTGCTTAGTTATCTAACAGAATAAAAATAAATGAGGTCATATGTTTCTGCACATGCAGAGATACATATTGAGGCAATTATCTTGATAATTATTTTTTCTAAAATTACTTTTATATTAAATAGCAGGGTAATTGCCAAAAAAGTATTTTTAGCTTGCAATGTATCTTGCTACATACCGAATATTGTCCAATTTCTGTAGCAAAGCAGTTAGCAAATTATACAACTAGTATGCATTTTAATTTCCAGTAAATATTCTCATTCTTTACTTTCCTACCAGGGTTTGTCCTAATGCCACATATTAACAAATTGTGTTGGCCTTTATATCTTCAAGCCAAACACAAACTACAATTTCAAACAAAATTTTGGAAATTCTTGAAATGTTAAAATTTATCAGCTCCATTTTAGTAGAGTGAATATTACTAAATGGGATATTCAAGCTTTTGTAACAACAATAATAGAGCTGTTTTTATTAATTGGCCAAGTGAGTTTTCTAAGTGTTAATAACTAATGATTAACTATGGAACTTTAGTTAATGGGTAAATGATGAGGCAGAAAAAAGAAATGTTCTATGCAGTATATACATTAAATGGATATGTTGTCTGATCCTTTGGGTTACTCCTAACATTATCAGTGGTGGGGTTTTCGTGGGAGAAAACCAATGTTCTAAGCTCTTTTTGTAACATGAGGTTTTGAATATAAGCATTCTTTGTACCACTGACATTGCTATATTTGTAAAATAGTCTGGGACCAAAATTTGGAAAAAAAATTATAAAACTATTAACATTGATTTGCTTACCATTAAAACGTTATAATCCATGACCCCATAGTCAGAGAACGTTTCCAAACAAATACAATAAAAACACAATGTGAAAAAAAATAGGGCTTAAAATTTGGAGAATTAACTTTTTAATTAAGTTGGTTCATTTGCCTGATGCCTGCTCTAGACTTTGAGGGTTACTTGGCATGCAGAAGACAAAATGGTAAACTTCAGTGAGTAATGCAACTTTAGACATAGCAGACAAAAATCTTCACTAATATTTTAGAACAGATTTTTTGTTTTGGTAGATTTCAAAGGAGGGATTTTATTCCCCCAAGTTGGAATAATATTAATTAGAAACATATTTTTGAAAATTAATTTTTATTTCACACATAGTTCAGTTACAAAACATGTAGAAAATTTAGATCACAACATCACCTTTAACATCCTCTTAGTTGTTCTTGAAACTGATAGGACAGCCTTCTTGTCTTGGTTGCTTAATTTCTACTTCCAGTCCTTACAAATTGCTTACCTCTAAAAACAATTGACACCATAGTGAGAAAGCACAAAGCCCAAATCAAACTAAATATTTTATGTAATATTATGACTGAAATCACATTTTATTCAGAAATAAAAAAATCCTGTGTCTATAGAGTCCAATAAAGCATTGCCATACAACGATAATTACAAAAAGTTGCAAATGATTTTTAGGTGATTTTATGTTAAAATCACCTAAAGTTTTGACCAGATATAGGTATCATAAAGATAGGATTGGGCACGCTTAGTTTGTGTGAATTTTTCTTTGGAATTGCTATAAAAGAAAAAAAAAGTGACTCAGATTCACACAACAGCCTTCTTGCTGTAACTAATCCCTCTAGATCTGGCTGAGTCGCTCAGGCTGTACTTCCTGCCTGAACCCGCCTATTGAACTGAAGACAGAACAAAAACAAAATAAAATTTCGGCAAAGATCCTTTTCATTATTTTTTAAGAATGCCAAAACTTGTCGAATTATTTGAACATCAAAGTGTCTTCCTGTCTCTCGCTCATTGTCTGTGGTATAAAATTCCTACTCATTCATTGTCTTCATAAAAAGAGGGCACAAATCTTTTCAAGGAGCTTTGCAAGTAACCTGTGCATATTCCAGCGATGAAAAGTCCTTGCAGGTTCATAAAACTAGAGCAAATCAAACTCTCTTTAGAAAAGAGTTACTTACAGAAATATCTTGAAATCTCAAAGGACATTTTCTTTCTTTCTTTCTTTTTTTTTTTGAGAAAAGCCTCTATAAAATAATCTGCTTAAAATATGAGGATTTTTTTTCTTCCCCATTTTTTAAAGATAAGGATAAAGACTATAGATAATTCATGTGGATCAAAGCATGTTGGTTTAGTTATCTGTTGTAAGGTTTTACTTGAATCTTTTACAAAAGATTTTTGGTTAAGTCTTGTTAGGTCTCTGTTTTGCAACTCTAAGCTCTACGTTATTTATAATATTTTAACAAGGATTAGTGGAAGTGAGGTAAAGTGATGAACTTCCACATTTAAATAGTATTTCTTCTGGCAAATTTTAGTTAAAATATGATAAATTATATTTGCACAGACAAAATACACTGATAAAGCATCCGTCTGCCAGTGACTCACAAGGCCAAGTCTCCCTTGTGTACATTAGTCCGTGGAAGACATTTCACAATAGAAACCCTTCTAGAAAATGGACTCATTTGGTCTGAAATGAGTGAGAAATTCAGTCTGAAATATTGGTGAGAAACAATCCTAGTTCTCACCTCACTATCATGATTTCACCACTGGTTTGATTAGAACTTTTAGAAAGTTGAACCCCAACTAATTTTAGGTGCGGTTGGTTGAATCCCAACCCCACATAAAATTATGTGATTCCATCATTTAATGATTCTAAATCCCCTGGAAGACACATTATCAAACAATGCATTGTTCAGGGTAATATATTACCTTTGAAGCCTTTCATTCCAGAGAGATAGGCTGAAGGGCTTACTCCCTGACTATAACCTGATTTTCGGTTCTATAATAAGCACACATATTCTGAACAACATAAATGTATTCTACATACATTTTTCCTCTCTAGCCCTCTCTAAGGAGAGTTTCTGAGTTATTGAATTTTCCCTTTAATTTACCTTTCTACCTACATGTGGGTGCTCAAATTACTTAATTTCTAGTAAAAATTTAGGTCTTATTTTCTCTAATTTAGGAAGCTGACCCTGCTTCTTTCTGTAAGTAGTGCAGCCTGGATAGTTTTTGTTTCCCATAGAAGAATGTAATCTGTTGCTCACCTAGTGGGTTCTGATCTAGGAGAATTGGCAAAACTCTGCGGTTTGTGAGTAGCCAGGAACCCATAATAACATAAGTCTCTTCACACTACCCACTGGCTGTCTATATATCCATGTATCCATATGCATGTCTTGATAGAATATGCTTTAATTGTTCACCCATTCACCACCCCAACCATCTTTGTATTATTTATACTTGATATTGCTCCACAAATGATTTGGTTGACAAATATGGACATCTGAAAAATATGCACATACATACCAATGTTTCAGGGACTAAAGGAAAAGCGAAAATAAGAGGTGTGACATCTTGACCAAGAGCCACATCTTGGCTAGCACACAAAATGTGTTCAATAACTATTTGTTAAATCAGTGAGAAAAATCATAAGGGCAAATGCATCATTTGTATCTTGGATTCTGAGTAGCCAGCACACAGAAAATGGTAAACCTAGTAACATCTGCTTTTTAAAAAATTCTTCGAAATCTTCTCTTTAGATGAGCAACATGGTAACTGAGAGGAGAATATGAAGCAAGTTGTTCCACTTGTGCTTGGGGACATATTTTCTCTTTATTCCTGAGAAGCTACATGAATAGTACTTTCCAGAACTCAAGTGGGAGAATGTAACTATTGTGAATAATGGTTACATTATTAATTGTGAATAATAATAAATATAGTGAATAACTATTGTGAAATAGTATTGCTTACTAGTTTTCTAATGACCCAGTATATCAAATAATGTGCCAACTGTGACGTTCCTAATAATAATCTCCTATAAATGAAATGTCCAGAACTTGGAAAATATTTAATTTCTGGATTGAAAATTACAAAATCCTTGACTTATGTATCATTTTAGATGTATGTGAGAATTGTCACAGTAGGTCAATCAGCACAACATTCTTCAGGTTAAAAAGGTTTGCTGTGTAGAGCAAAAGGCTGTTCATCTTCTCTGATATCAACCTCAAAATATAAAGGTAGAAAGAAGACACCCTACCTTCTGTGTTTGTTATTCAGTTATTCATGAATTAATACAAACTTTAAGGTTTTTACTTTCAGGACAGATATTTTTAAATACATTTGTCTTTTCAAGCCCTAGAAGAGGACTAAGATATCCCATTTGTATATATGCACTCACACACACATCAACACATAACATAATGGATTGTGTCTCTGCTTATACATTCATATATTATTATGCCTCTTGGCATATCCAGATTAACTGGATGTATTTCTGCATGTATGTGCATGAACTCACAGGTGTATACTATTGCAGCCACACCCACACACACACTTTCCCAATTGTTATCTTCTGCTTTGCACATTACTGTTTCCCAACTTCCATGGCCTCCAGCATAAACATACCTTTCCTCCCCTGTTTACTGATTTACTCTTCACCAGATAAACATTATCTTGTGACCATGACCTCCTTGCTCATCTGTCAGCCTTTGCAAACCAGGGGAACTGTGACTGCCCAAGATCCCTTACCAGGGGAAAATATTAATCAGTTGTAAAGTTTAGGACTTGCACAACGGAAGCTGACACTTCTGAGAAGTCCCCCAAATATCTGTACCCAGCAGATGTTACTCTGCATATTTTAGGCTTAACGACCTCTCCCACCATGTAAAGATTATAGTGTTTCATTTCTCAGTAAATGTAAAGGAAACCTATTTAAGAAAGAATATCATTTATCCAGGGAAAACAAATCAATATCAGTTCTCTAGTTTCAATACTTACAGTAAGTGAATATTTCTCATGTTTTACTCATAAAGGCATCCCTTTAACCAATAAGTTTTGACGCTCTCTAAAATTCAGCAGGGGCAGCCTGAATCTGTAAGAACATTGAGAAGTCAAAGTTTTCACACAAGGATCATATGCACATTTTGCTTGCATTATATTAAATTAATAATCAAGAAATATGGGTTGAAAATATACCATTGATGACCACAAGTGTCTGTATTACAGCTTATGTGGTCGGGCTAAAAGTTATTGCATGCAAAGAATGCCGGGCACCAGCTTGCTTTATCTGACACCATGACAGTAGGAATTATCATATATCTATAGCAAAAAATAAAATTGTAGAATTGAAAAGGATAAATTTTACTCTTGCAATCTAAGAAATGTGTGACATGACTCTCACACCAACGACTAGAAAAAAAAATAGCCATTGGCACTAGCCATATTTTCAACTTCTCTCACTAGCAGGATGTCTTTCTTGTCAGTTTGAGTTTATTCAGGACACGGTTTTATACTCCATTCTTTTGAGTATGAAACTCTCATTCATTTTTTAAAATTTTTAGTATGAATTTCTAGTGTGAAAACTCCATTGTTTCTCCAAGTTATAGTTTTTAATGTGAAACTGGTTTTTGTGCTGTAATTATTGAAACTTGTAACAATCAACAAAAGAAAAAATTTTCAGTATCGATTTCTTTAACACCAGGGTCTCAAAACGAGTTAGATACATCATTTTTATACATAGTCTAACAAAGAGTGGCAAACCAAGGAAAGGCCACAGAGATTTCTTTTACAGAGCAGATCTGTTTGTTGTCCACATTATTAGCTTCTAGTATTGCATAGTAAAACCCCCCAAGTGGATTCCGAATATGCAGCAAATTTATATAAACTTACCATATTTTTTTTCCAGGCTGTGTTTTCCACTTCTTTCCCTTCCTGCCTGACAATATGTTGCCATGCTATAAAAGCCCTAATGCCCATTTTCAACGATTAGCTGTACATCAGCATTACCACCACAAATCCACAAGTTTCACATCAAGCATTAAATGGGATGAATATTGATCTGCTAAAGAGGATTTATTTATTTCTAGCTCTATCCAAAGATCAACTGCTAGCAGCTTTTGGGGGATCTGTGAAGCTCTCACAGCACAAAGCTACTGCATACATGACACTGGACTTGACATTTCAGTTCTGGAAGAAAACCAAACAGTAAATTCAGTGCAATAATCCTAGATAAATGAGATGATCACTGGAAAAGCTGAGATAGTTAAGTGGTCTATCAGAGAAGTCCAACGGATGGTATTGAACAGTTGCTACTTAGAATCCTCACTCATGTCAATATGGTCCAAAGCACTATCATATCAGATGCCAATATAATCACATTAAAACAATCTCTACCTCCTGCTTTCATTTCTCCGCGTGTGTATTTTTCTGGATTTACAAGTGATTGTAAATAATGCACAATGTGACAAAGCTGTAGCCTAACAATTGTTTTGAATATGTGTAAGCTGCATTGTAATATAGTATAAAATATAGACAATGCATTAAATCACCTTATGCTATGTAGCTTGTGGGGTGCAGCTTCATATTCTTACTGGTGGATCAAAGGATGATGGGGCATCGTGTTTTTAAAAAACAAGAACGGTCAAATTCTGTCTTAAATTTTCCGAGACCACTGAAGTTCCTTTCCTTCTCCCCCAATTTGTAATAGCTATCCTCCTCTATACCATTCAAGTACTATAATTACCTTAAACTTACAACTAACATTGGCTGAACCAAGTAAATACTCAGTGTTTGCAAAAATTCAGTGTTGTTGAGAGAGGTGCACTTTAACTTTGCCACAACAAAAATTTTACTTCTCCCCATACGGGCATTTGATTAACATTTTTTTTCTTTTAAAATCTTTTTTTAATCAGAAAATGTGAAAACTTGTGTACATCCAGCTTATTTAATAACAGACAAAATAAGAATCTTTCTCTCATCATCAGAAATATGAAAAATAAACTTTTTTGTCTATAAATATTAAAAATGCTTGTATTATCTTGGTGTAACTCATCAAACATTCATTTGAAAATCTAGCAACTCAGTCCTATCAATACATATAAAATAATTTATAATGAAGACTGATGTAGTAAAAATGATTGTGTTATGTGCCATTTTAATATCAGTCTATTTATATTAAAACAGGTACATAAGCATTATCTTATTAGATCACAAGCTGTGTGAAAGGCAGGCTGGTGTCTCATGCCAGTTGTACAGGTAAGGATTCAAGAGGGTAAGTTATTTATTCAGTGATGGCAAAAGGCTCCAGCTCAATTCTTCTCATGTCAGCTCCCAGGTTCTCATTCACAGACTTTGTGGTCTGCAAGTGTCCAGCTTGGCTGTCCATACAAAACAAATTAGCTGGAAAACCGTCCATTTCACTTTGCTTTGTAGAGACACCATCTGAAAGGAAGTGTATCATAAATCAATAGAGGTCGAGGGAAAGTTTAACTAAGCCACTTCCTCACCAAAGAGAAAAAAAAATGTTAGATTTTCTTCCAGCCTCTACTGCATAATAATGCTTTTCTGTTTGATTGTTTACATTCATTTTAATTATACCTGTCAAACTGTGTGGGGAGTAAGACGATGTAAATAACTGAAACAGAAAAAAAGAAGTGACATAAGACTGGAAGTTTTGTAGCTCTAAAATAAAGGAAGCAATATCTCAAATCCTAACTTTACCCTTTTGGAGAAAAATATTTCTATATTAATCATGTTTCTGGAGGTAGGAATATTATGTTTTGTTGTGGATATTTGAAACTTTTGGTAGCAGATGTCCTTGGAGAGATACCACTTAACTTAATTAGGGCTTATTCACAGGCCTGTGCGTCTAGATTGCCAAGGCCAAGTGATGTTTATCAGTCTAAATAGTGTCATTGGAAGAAAGAAAAACTGGAATAAGCGGTGCATATTTATCTTCACTCTCTGATTGTGCAGTTCATTTTAATTAATGTTAGTCACCCAGAAAATAGAGATCATACACACTGATTTTTAAAAAGACACTAAAATACCCACAAACTGCGTGACGCAATAGTTTGGGGGTTGCTTCTGAGATTTTTCAGTTACTCATTTTGAAAATCGTTTAAAAATTGGTAATTCTTTGGTTTTTGGGTTTTTTCCAAAGGAAAATAAAGCCTTATAATAATATCATATGCCAATTAATAGTTTCTTTTCAGGAGATGCGTTTTCCACATCTCCGAATCATATACCCTTTGGGAAGGAAAACAATATCCCCCTTAAAGGAAAATTTCGGGGGCAGAGGGGGGATATGGGATGGTTATCACACAAAATTGTGACCCTGTATTTAGGACATTTCTCAAGCCATTGATCCAGGAAACTGGAAAAGTCTTGAGTTTCAAGGCATTGATGACATCATAGAATATGGATTTTTTTTTTTTTTTTAGTATAACCTATCATTGATACTTTTCAAAGTTACCCATGCAGGAGAACAATTTACTCTCTTGGTTCATGTTGTCTGCCCTCTCCTTCTTCAAGGTCTCATTTTCCTTCTAAGCATCTCCTCTCTCTGGCAGTTTTTGTGAGATAAAACTCATTATACATGGAAAATTTCTATAAAAATCAGAGACTTGAAGACATTAAGAATCTCTGAGCTCAACTAACAACCATTCATCTCTGTTATGCTTAAAAGTTATCAGTAGGCACACAGTGGGAATCCAATAAATGGTTTTATACTAAACTACATTGAAAACTTTTTCACCATGCCACGCAATTAGTTAAGAGGAAATCAAGCTATTTAAAAATATTAGGAAATGCATTCAAGGATGACTTACACAAAATTTTTAAAACAGAAATACAAACATGTATTTATATCTACATTGTTGAGATTCTAAAGTCATTTTACATATATCTCAGTAGATGTTTCTAGTATGCCTGCAGAAGTCTTACTAAAGCTGGGAGTGCAGAATATTTGACTCATTCTTCTTAGTCATAATGCTGTTACCTAATACTAATGTCTTTCTTCAGAAACACTTAATAACATATGCCACATTGAAGTTGATAGCAATGCTTGCAGTTAGAGTAACATGGCAAAATTTCAGAAAGGAAGGAAAACAGCCCTCCTTCCCCTGCTTTAAAAAAAAAAAATATGGTCAGCCATGCCTTTTCCCTTTCTGCTGGGTATGTAAGACAATATCCATTCTGCCTTTTGTTGCAGGTAAACCAAGGCCATTTAGGTAATGTGTTGCTTTTGTCTTGATTGTTTATGCCAGTTATGAGCAAACATACAAGCGAAGTGCTAAAGGCAAGCTGTCAAGTCATTGTACTGAGAGCTGGGCTAGAAATTCGAGTTGAATTACTTAGTTAATCGAATGTCTCAATGTAAAAAGAGTGTGGAAATACTGTTTTGTGGTAGCTTATTTCAGAGACAGATCTGCTTAGATCTCTGCTACCGTTTTTTCCAATTTCCTACCAAGAGTAAATTGGTTTTGCTCACATTATTGCTCTTTCTCACGTTTCAGTTGGTCTTACCAGAGAAAATGGCTCAATGCGGTAGCAATGATTTGGAGAATACCAATCCCTTGATTTAGGCGACAGGTTTTTGTTTCTTCTCACCCATTGTTCTGGATGCTTTTTCTTCTTTTTATAAACAGAACAGAACAAAAGACTATTGTTCTTAACGTGCACTGCATGTGCTAGTAACGTATAAGGGAAAATATAACAGGAGGGGTTTTCTTTTCCAGTTACATATTATACCACTGCCTAACAGAAGTGCTAGCAGCATAAAATGATGCAATAAACCTCTCTAACAGTAGCTGATTTGTATGCAACAATGACCATAAGGGTAACTCTTCAGCAAACCTGAATCTCATATATAATGCATAGCAGTTAATAAATCATAGTAAAATCAGATGGCTTAGAGCCAACAGTACCCACCTAGTAATGGAAAGGGGTGGAAAGATTTATAGAGAGACAGATTCTGTCTGGATTTTGCTTTTAGGATGCTCAGCAACTGCAGTGAAGTATCTGACATGGTTTCTAGCTAGGCTTGTATTCTGTTCATTCACTCCATCTTTTTGTCTGAAGATCTTTTGCATAGAGCTGCTACCCTTTTTCTTCTACCACCAGGTGGAGTGTTTTCTACCATTATTTAAGGTTTTGCACTTCAGACCAATACAAATCTTATGAGGAGAAAATGTTCTTTTTGAACACCTCATTTTTAAAATAAGTTTTTAGTGAGCTGCTTTCCTCGATCAAATGCATTCAGATAAATATACCTTGAAACCACTTCTCAAAACACTAATTTTGCTTTAAATAATGTCACATATCTTGACAGAGAAGCAGAGTTATATTTTTTGCTTTATACTTTCAGAACAAAGTGTTCTTAGATGTGCTTATTGGATCTCACTGCCAGTGTTTTACTGGCTCTACCATGTGAATCTTAAAAATGCAGAATTTGCAAATTTGTCACATGTCAAGGAAAAGAATATTGAGGACAACATGTGCCATACAGATCTGAGAGAAGCATTTACTTCAAATCTGTTTCTGGTTATTGGTAGGTCTTGGCCAATTTCCGGTGCTGACATGGGCTATTGAGATGTGTGGCAAACATGTCACCTCAGAGTTAGAAATATTTGAACCTACTGAATTATGATCCTCTACAAATTCTTAGCATTAAAAAAAATGAAGATAAATTGCTGAAGTAGGGGTAGGTATAAGAAATTGTTAATGCTTCCACTTAGTTTTCTACATAATTGTCTATCATGTGCAGACTCACATTTTTATTTTAGATTAAAACTTTACATTTTTCATTTACTGCTGGATTTTGATGAAGTGTGGAACAGGGATCATCTTCCTGAATGCTCTAATACTCATGTACATATTTTCACTAAAAAACATCGTGTATCATACTGTCTCTTTAATGAGGTATGTTGCAATTAAAATGGATAAAATAGCATATAACATCTCAATCTTTTTTTTGTTGTCTAGAGCATTAGAATTTTTTCCTTCAATTATGGTAACCACAAGATGGCAGTAATTCCTTATTAAATGGATAATCTTCTCTGCCCTGGATAGCTGGATAGTGACTGACTCCTGGTAAGAGAGGAGGAAAATAAAGAGAAGCCCCTCTTTGCATTAAGGGTGAAAATAAAATGGCGCAAAGGTTGAAAATAATAGGAGTGGCCTAAAGTAGAGTAAAATGGTTTATCCTGATGTCATTAGGTTTTCAGATGGCAAAAATTTCAGGAGAAATTGTGTCATCAATCAGACTAATCCTCTAGCAGGCAATATTGTAAAATGAGTACTTTGATATAATCTGGGGATGTGACTAGTTTTATTTCTATGTGTAGTAATTAATTGCCTCGTGACTATAAAATCTTAGGCTTGTTTTGGCAGGTTTAATCCTTGGCTCTCATGTGATAGTGCTGCATTAATGACAGTGATTGTAGGCAATAGTTTGATAGTCAGGGATGGTTCACTGCAAAAACAATCCTATGTCCCTGAAATAAATATTAATTCAAAACAAAATAACTGGTGACAAAAATACATAATGAAGTGCCCTAACATTATATGTGCCCTAGAACTCTCTGTGCTTGAGGAACTCAGAACAGATCATATTTCAAGGGAATACTGGTGTATACAGGAGTATAGACAGCAAAGCAAATTGGAAAATAATAGAGGTTTTTTTTGTTTAGTCTCTAGAATTAGCCCCAATTGATAAAGTGATCTTTATTTTTGTGACTGTTAACCAACATGGATAAGATATTTAGAAATTGGATTTTTATAAATACAATCCAATTGAAAATTGGAGATTCAGTGTCATAAATACATATTTTAAAATTATATCAATCAGATAAAGCTGTATAATAGCAACAAAGCTAGGGGAAGCGATGGATCAGAAAGTTATTTATCACAGTGATTTGAAAGGCTAAATATGGCTATGGTCTGAAAAATACCACATAAAATCAATGTTTTTACTATTAGATAAATTGGATTAACTTTTACACATTTGATGGAAAGGAATTTTATTCATTTTTGTAGGTGCAAAATCTAGTTTGATCTCATTTTATATCAATAATTTCTAATTTCCTGCTGTGTATTATAATTCTGATTGTAGCATTTCAGAGTCGTGATAGATTTTCTTTGGGTCTACACATGAAAAGTAAAGGGTCAAGAGAGTTATATGGATGCTTCAGCCTCAAAATATTATTACTGGGCACAATATTGTATATTTAAATTTTGCAGAGAGACTAGATCTTAAGTGTTCTCGCACACACACAAAAAGGTAACTATGCAAAGAGATGAATATGTTAATTAGCTTGATTATGGTAATCATTTCACAATATGCACATATATCAAAACATCACACTGTACACCTGAAATATATACAATTTCTATTTGCCAATTATGCCTCAATAAAGCAAGAAAAAATGTTATTACTAAGAATATCTCAGTAATTAGAACAAAGGGGTATTTTGAAAACTAATCTTTATTATTTTAACTTGTTTTTTTTTGTATTATATATTTTGCTAGCATAAATCCAATGAATGAAAAATATTTATTTCTTTTCTTCCTCATCTTAAATTATCCCAAATGATCATTTGTAGGAGCAATTTGATGAAATTAACTGAATTTCTCATGTTAAATATATTGGCAGAAGCCAAATTTAGTTCTTATAAATATATAATATTTAAAATATATATATGGAAAGAGAAAGAGAAAGAGAGGAAGAGGGTGTTCGAATGAACCTTTTTCTTTTATCTTGCCTGTTTCTAAGCTTTAATTTATTTATGATATAATATTTTAGAGTATAACTTTGAAAATTCTGGAAATACTAGAAAAGTACATTTAAGTGGACACTTCCAAAGCTATGAAACTTTCAAAAAGGAGCAAATGAAGACTCAGAATCTAAATTTTTTTCTCAAAAACCCTTCTGATCATAATCATCAAAGCCTTAAAAAATATACTTTGATTTTAACATTAAAAACTGCAGAGGTGGCTGGCAAGATGTCCAAATAGGAACAGCTCCCATCTGCAGCTCCCAGCAAGATAAATGCAGAAGGTGGGTGATTTCTGCATTTCCAAGTGAGGTACCTGGCTTATCTCATTGGGACTGGTTAGACAGTGGGTGCAGCCCACAGAAGATGAGCCAAAGTAGGGTGGGGTGTCGCCTCACCCAGGAAGCGCAAGGGGTTGGGAAAGTCCCTCCCCTAGTCAAGGGAAGCCACGAGGGGCCGTGCTGTGAGGACCATGCTTTGAGGAATGGTGCATTCCAGCCCAGATACTATGCTTTTCCCGTGGTCTTCACAATCCGCAGACCAGGAAATTCCCTGGAGTGCCTACACCACAAGGCCCCTAAGTTTCAAGCACAAATCTGGGCAGCCGTTTGGGCACACATCCAGCTAGCAGCAGGAGTTTTTTTTTTTTTTTTTTCATACCCCAGTGGTGCTTGGAATGCCAGCGAGACAGAACCGTTCACTCGCCTGGAAAGGGGGCTGAAACCAGGGAGCCAAGTGGTCTAGCTTAGCAAAACCCACCCCCATGAAGCTGAGCAAGCTAAGATCCACTGGCTTGAAATTCTCGCTGCCAGCACAGCAGTCTGAAGTTGACCTGGGATGCTCCAGCTTGGTGGGGGGAGGGGCATCAACCATTACTGAGGCTTGAGTAGGCAGCTTTCCCCTCATAGTGTAATCAAAGCAACCAGAAAGTTTGAACTGGGCAGAGCCCATCGCAGCTTGGCAAAGCCACTGTAGCCAGACTGCCTCTCTAGATTCATCCTCTCTGAGCAGGGCATCTCTGAAAGAAAGGCAGCAGCCCCAGTCAGGGGCTTATAGATAAAACTCCCATCTCCCTGGGACAGAGCACATGGGGGAAGGGGCAGCTGTGGGTGCAGGTTCAGCAGACTTAAACATTTCTGCCTGCCAGCTCTGAAGAGAGCAGTAGATCTCCAAGCATAGCACTCATGCTCTGCTAAGGGACAGACTGCCTCCTTGAGTGGGTTCCTGGCCCTTGTGCCTCCTGACTGGGAGACACCTCTCAGCAGGGGTTAACAGACACCTCACACAGGAGAGCTCCAGCTGGCATCTGGCAGGTGCCCCTCTGCGATGAAGCTTACAGAGGAAGGAACAGGCAGCAATCTTAGCTGTTCTGCAGCCTCCGCTGGTGATACCCAGGCAAACAGGGTTGGGAGTTGACCTCCAGCAAACTCCAGCAGACCTGCAGCAGAGGGGCCTGTTAGAAGGAAAACTAACAAACAGAAAGGAATAGCATTGATATCAACAAAAAGGACATCCACACAAAAACTCCATTCAAAGGTCACCAACATCAAAGGCCAAAGGTAGATAAATCCACCAAGATGAGGAAAAACCAGCAAAAAAGGCTGAACATTCCAAAAACCGGAACACCCCTTGTCCTCCAAAGGATCACAGCTCCTCACTAGCAAGGGAATAAAACTGGTTGGAGAATGAGTTTGATGAATTGACAGAAGTAGGCTTCAGAAGGTGGGTAATAACCAATTCCTCTGAGCTAAAGGAGCATGTTCTAACCCAATGCAAGGAAGCTAAGAACCTTGAAAAAGGGTTGGAAGAATTGCTAACTAGAATAACCAGTTTAGAGAAGAACATAAATGACCTGATGGAGCTGAAAAACACAGCACAAGAACTTTGTGAAGCATACACAAGTATCAATAGCTGAATCAACCAAGCAGAAGAAAGGATATCAGAGATTGACGATCCACTTAATGAAATAAAGCGTGAAGACAAGATTTTTAGAGGAAAAAAAATGAAAAGGAACGAACAAAGCCTCCGAGAAATATGGGACTTTGTGAAAAGATCAATCCTACATTTCACTGGTGTACCTGAAAGTGATGGGGAGAATGGAACCAAGTTGGAAAACACTCTGCAGGATATTGTCCAGAACTTCCTTAACCTAGCAAGGCAGGCCAACATTCAAATTCAGAAAATACAGAGAATACCACAAAGATACTCCTTGAGAGGAGCAACCCCAAGACACATAATCGTCAGATTCACCAAGGTTGAAATGAAGGAAAAAATGTTAAGGGCAGCCAGAGATAAAGGTCGGGTTACCCACAAAGGGAAGCTCATCAGATTAACAGCAGATCTCTCTGCAGAAACCCTGCAAGTCAGAAAAGAGTGGGGGCCAATATTCAACAGCGTTAAAGAAAAGAATTTCAACCCAGAATTTCATATCCAGCCAAACTAAGCTTCATAAGTGAAGGAGAAATAAAATCCTTTACAGACAAGCAAATGCTGAGAGATTTTGTCACCACCAGGCCTGCCTTACAGGAGCTCCTGAAGGAAGCACTAAACATGGAAAGAAAAAGCAAGTGCCAGCCACTGCAAAAACATACCAAATTGTAAAGATTATCGACATTATGAAGAAACTGCGTCAACTAACAGGCAAAATAAGCAGCTAGCATCATAAAGACAGCATCAAATTCACACATAACTATATTAACCTTAAATGTAAATGGGCTAAATGCCCCAATTAAAACACACAGTCTGGCAAATTGGGTAAAGAATCAAGACCCATCAGTGGGCTATATTCAGGAGACCCATCTCACGTGCAAAGATACATGTAGGCTCAAAATAAAGGGATGGAGGAATATTTACCAAGCCAATGGAAAGCAAAAAAAAAAAAAAAAAAAAAAAAAAGAGCAGGGGTTGCAATCTTAGTCTCTGATAAAACAGACTTTAAACCAACAAAGATCAAAAAAGACAAGGGCATTACATAATGGTAAAGGAATCCATGCAACAAGAAGAGCTAACTATCCTAAATATATATGCATCCAATATAGGGGCACACAGATTTATAAAGCAAGTTCTTAGAGACCACAAAGAGACTTAGACTCCCACAAAATAATAGTGGGAGACATTAACACCTCACTGTCAATATTAGACAGATAAATACGACAGAAAATTAACAAGGATATTCAAGATTTGAACGCAGCTCTGGACCAAGTGGGACCCAATAGACATCTACAGAACTCTCCTCTCCAAATCAACAGAATATACATTCTTCTCATCACTACATCAAAATTGTTCTAAAATTGACCACATAATTGGAAGTAAAATACTCCTCAGCAAATGCCGATCTAAAATCGATACCCTAACATCACAATTAAAAGGACCAGAGAAGGAAGAGCAAACAAATTTAAAAGTGAGCAGAAGACAAGAAATAACTAAGATCAGAGCAGAACTGAAGGAGATAGAGACACAAAAAAACCCTTCAAAAAAATCAGTGAATCCAGGAGTTGGTTTTTTAAAAGATTAACAAAATAGATAGACTGCTAGCCAGACTAATAAAATAGAGAAGAATCAAATAGACACAATAAAAAATGATAAAGGGGATAGTACCACTGATCCCACAGAAATAAAAACTACCGTCAGAGAATACTATAAACACCTCTACATAAATAAACTAGAAAATCTAGAAGAAATGGATAAATTCCTGGACACATACACCCTCCCAAGACTAAACCAGGAAGAAGTCGAATCCCTGAATAGACCAGTAACAAGTTCTGAAGTTAAGGCAGTAATAAATAGCTTACCAACCAAAAAAAACTCAGGGCCGGATGGATTCACAGCCAAATGAGAGGTACAAAGAGGAGCTGGAACCATTCCTTCTGAAACTATTCCAAACAGTAGAAAAAGAGGGACTTGTCTGTAACTCATTTTATGAGGCCAACATCATGCTGATACCAAAACCTGGAAGAGACACAACAAAAAAAGAAAATTTCAGGCCAATATCCCTGATGAACATCGATGTGAAAATCCTCAATAAAATACTGGCAAACCGAATCCAGCAGCACATCAAAAAGCTTATCCACCATGATCAAGTCGGCTGCATCCCTGGGATGCAAGGCTGGTTCAACATATGCAAATCAATAAACATAACCCATCACATAAACAGGACCAATGCAAAAGCCACATGATTATCTAAATAGATACAGAAAAGACCTTCGATAAAATTTAACACCTCTTCATGCTAGAAACTCTCAATAAAATAGGATTGAACTTATCTCAAAATAGTAAGAGCTATTTGCGACAAACCCACCGTCAATATCATACTGAATGGGCAAAAGCTGGAAGCATTCCCTTTGAAAACTGGCACAAGACAAGGATGCCCTCTCTCACCACTCCTATTTAACATAGTATTGGAAGTTCTAGCCAGGGCAATCAGGCAAGAGAAATAAAGGGTATTCAAATAGGAAGAGA
Source organism: Homo sapiens (assembly GCF_000001405.40). Lineage (NCBI taxonomy): Eukaryota > Metazoa > Chordata > Mammalia > Primates > Hominidae > Homo > Homo sapiens. Next base: position 111,624,698 of record NC_000004.12, on the reverse strand, counting down.
GGAAGTCAAATTGTCTCTGTTTACAGATGACATGATTGTATATTTAGAATACCCCATCGTCTCAGCCCAAAATCTCCTTAAGCTGATAAGCAACTTCAGCAAAGTCCAGGATACAAAATCAATGTGAAAAAATCACAAGCATTCCTATACACCAATAATAGACAAACAGCCAAATCATGAGTGAACTCCCATTCACAATTGCTACAAAGATTATAAAATACCTAGGAATCCAACTTACAAGGGATTTGAAGGACCTCTTCAAGAATTACAAACTACTGCTCAAGGAAATAAGAGAGGATACAAACAAATGGAAAAACATTCCATGCTCATGGATAGGAAGAATCAATATCATGAAAATACCCATACTGCCAAAAGCAATTTATAGATTCAATGCTGTCCCCATAAATCTACCATTAACTGTCTTCACAGAATTAGAAAAAAACTACTTTAAATTTCATATGGAATGAAAAAAGAGCCCATATAGCCAAGACAATCCAGAGCAAAAAGAACAAAGCTGGAGGTATCACACTACCTGACTTCAAACTATACTACCAGGCTATGGTAACCAAAACACCATGGTACTGGTACCGAAACAGACATATAGAACAATGGAACAGAACAGAGGTCTCAAAAGTAATGCCACACATCTACAACCATCTGACATTTGACAAACCTGACAAAAACAAGCAATGGGGAGAGGATTCCCTATTTAATAAATGGTGTTGGGAAAACTGGCTAGCCATATTCAGAAAACTGAAACTTGACCCCTCCTTACACCTTATACAAAAGTTAACTCAAGATGGATTAAATACTTAAATGTAAGACCTAAAATCATAAAAACCCCAGAAGAAAACCTCGGCATTAGCGTTCAGGACATAGGCACGGGCAAAGACTTCATGACTAAAACACCGAAAGCAATGGCAACAAAAGTCAAAATTGACAAATGAGATCTAATTAAACTAAAGAGCTTCTGCACAGCAAAATAAACTATCATCAGAGTGAGCAGGCAACCTACAGAATGGGAGAAAATTGTTACAGTCTATCCATCTGACAAAGGGCTAATATCCAGAGTCTACAAAGAACTTAAACAAATTTACAAGAAAAAAAACACCCCCATCAAAAAGTGGGCAAAGGATATGAACAGACACTTCTCAAAAGAAGACATTTATGCGGCCAACAAACATATGAAAAAAATCTCATCATCACTGGTCATGAGTGAAATGCAAATCAAAACCACAATGAGATACCATCTCATGCCAGTTAGAATGGCAATCATTAAAAAGTCAGACAACAGCAGATGCTGGAGAGGATGTGGAGAAATAGGAACACTTTTACACTCTTAGTGGGAATGTAACTTAATTCAACCATTGTGGAAGACAGTGTGGCAATTCCTCAATGATCTACAACCAGAAATACCGTTTGACCCAGTAATCCCAATTCTGGGTATATACCCAAAGGATTGTAAATCATTCTACTATAAAGACACGTGCACACTTATGTTTATTGCAGCACTGTTCACAATAGCAAAGACTTGGAACCAACCTAAATGCCCATCAGTGATAGACTGCATAAAGAAAACATGGCATATATACACCACGGAATACTATGCAGCCATAAAAATGGATGAGTTCATGTCCTTTGCAGGAACATGGATGAAGCTGGTAACCATCATTCTCAGCAAACTAACACAGGAACAGAAAACCAAACATCACATATTTTCACTCATAAGTGGGAGTTGAACAATGAAAACACATGGACATGGAGGGGAACATCACACATCAGGGCCTTTTGGCAGGTGGGGGGCTAGGAGAAGGATAGCATTAGGAGAAATACCTAATGTAGATGATAGGTTGATGGGTGCAGCAAGCCACCATGGCAAGTGTATACCTATGTAATAAACCTGCACATTCTGCACATGTATCCCAGAACTTAAAGTATAATAAAAAACAAAACAAAACTATGGATATTTTCTAATGAACTAGGAAATTAATTAGAATATTAATTAATATACTTTTTTATTATGGCACAAAAAACTGCATAGTATATAGCTATACATAGCCAACACTTGAGTAATAGTAACAAAATGCAATACTGTTAAGCAACCATTATTTGAATAAAATAGGCATTAATAAAGAGTATTAATTTCAGTAGCTCACAGATGGGAGAATTTTGAAGGAATTTATTCTCTTTTTTTTTTTTTTTTGAGACGGAGTCTCACTCTACTTCTCAGGCTGGAGTGCAGCGGCATGATCTCGGCTCACTGTAACCTCCGCCTCCTGGGTTCAAGTGATTCTCTGCCTCAACCTCCTGAGTAGCTGGGATTACAGGCACCCACTACCACACCCGGCTAATTTTTTGTATTTTTAGTAGAGATGGGGTTTCACCATCTTGGCCAGGCTGGTCTTGAACTCCTGACCTCGTGATCCACCCGCCTCAGCCTCCCAAAGTGCTGAGATTACAGTTGTGAGCCACCACGCCCGGCCGGATATATTCTTTTGTTAATGATATAGATAGAGAGAATGACTAGACTTTTAGTTTTAATGTGCTTATTTCAGTTTGAAAATTCACTTTGCAGGTGGAAAGTAGGAATTACCTGTGAAAATGATGGCAATTTTACTTGACAAGAAAACCAGTAACATTCAGTTATATGTTTTAGTTGAACTAATTCTAACCATACCAAATGATATGGTTTGGCTCTGTGTCCCCACCCAAATCTCCTCTCATATTGTAATCCCCACAGGTTAAGGGAGGGACCTGTAATCCCCACATGTTGAGGGAGAAAGGTGGTTAGATCATGGGCATGGTTTCCTCCATGCTGTTCTCATGATAGTGAGCAAGTTCTCACAAAATCTGGTAGTTGTATAAGTGTTTGACAGTTCCTCCTTCACACCACCCTCTCTCTCACCTGCCACCGTGGAAGATGTGCCTGCTTCCCCTTCGGCCACGATTGTAGGTTTCCTGAGGCCTCCTTAGCCATGTGGAACTATGAGTCAATTAAACCTCTTTTCTTTATAAATTATGCAGTTTTGGGCAGTTCTTTGTAGCAGTGTGAGAGTGGCCTAATATGCCAATTTTTTTTAAGATCTATATTAATGACCTGATTGAAAGCTGATGTTGTTGTCCCAGTAATTCAGGCTTTAAACATTTATGCTACAATAATCTGAATATTTAAATTAAATTATGATTTTTACTCAAATTATCTTCATGATTGTATTGCTGCTTCACATACCTGTAAGTGCTAGACACATGAATGTTTAACATGGTGCCCAGTCAGCCATTCACTTGATTTTCCATAGCTCATAGATCATGGCTCAGTTGCAACCTAGAAACACAAACCCTTGCAAAGACTTGCTGTGGAAATGAACTTAGGAGAATATTATTAACTCAGCCCTGGAGAGTAAAGAAGAAGGCTTCCTTCATTCCAATTATCATTTTGCTTACTCTATTCTTAGTCTTTTACAGACAAAAGGATCTTATTTCAATCTCATAATTTTAAGCAAACTACAGGACATAATTGTAATATTGTCATTAAATGCATCTAAACTAGCTTTAAATGCAAGGTATAGGTAGGCATATGTTTGAAACATTTGATATTTCTTCTGCTTCAGCATATATACCACAATGCTTAAAAAACCATTTTTAAACATAAGACACATGACTAATGAAGTCATAATCTCTATTCTGAATTCTATCCTTTGATTAGTAACATGTAATCTTAAGAGGAGATTTTATGATTGCAATCTATTATTGACCTTAGAACTATCCCAGATACTCTCATATTGAAGACACTTGATTGTATGTACAATGGGCAGTGTCCTGGAGGCCTCAGAGGATGTCACAAGCTCATGCAGTGTCTAGGACTGCAATCTCACTCTAAAAGGAATATTTGCCAAAATATTTATACTAATGAATGGCTCTCAGTTATCAATGGAAAATGTATACTTCTTTGGCTATGAAAAGTAACAAAAGCAAAAGAGAAATACAAGAGTCTCAACAAAGGTGAATATTATTTCATATTGGGTAAGATCCTCTAAAAGTATATTATTGGAGAAAACATGTATTTGGGAAATATTCTCATAGAAAATTATTTTTTTTACCTGAAAAAATTGTCAAATTATTTGTTATTTTAATAGTGAAATTATGTAATTTTCCTGTCAATTTAAGTGTCCATATAAACATACACTAACCAGAATATATGCTAATACCTATACACACATGATATTAAAACTTTTATATGACTTCTTTCTTTATATGACATGCCTTTTAAGAAATTCTCATCCAAATGAAGAAATAAAATAAAACCAAATATGTCAATAAACCATGCAAAATTATTCTTATGCTTTGACTCATTTGAGATTTCATTTTTCCTAATTCTCTATGCTGACTGTGACACAGAAAAACTGTAACCACTTGGAGTTCACACATGCAAGCACACACATACTCATTCACATGAACAAAGAGAATTGTGTAGATTAGATGTGGCTTATATGACTTAGGGATCTCTAATAATGACTTATTTTATACTTATAGAATAAACTCAATAAAGTTAATCTGTTTTATGGTAGGTTATGTTCTGAAGAATTTAGTTATGGCTAGTTAATCCAATGATTTTAAATAATTTCCATCTTTTATTTTTTTCCTTTCTTGTACTCACTAATGTTCAGACTAGTAGGTATTGAATGAGAAATTCTGGGTAGATGATCAACCAGGCATTGAGGATGTGAGGAGTATCAGACAGATCTCTGCCTTCTTTCCTATTTATTCACTCAATAAACATTTATCAAACACATTCTATATACTCTTCTAGGCATTTAGAATATACCAGTGAAGAAAACACAAAATACTTTGTAGAATATACATTCTAATTGAGAAAAATAAACAATAGGAAACATGATTGATAAGTAAATTATATACTATGATAGGTGATAAGAGACAAGAAAAAAAATGAGCAAAGTGAAGGGCATTTGGAATATGAGTGTGATGGTACAGTCTGCAGTATTAAATAAGATGTCAAGGCAGACTTTATTAATTCAGGAATTGAGCAAAGCATTAACATAATTGTAGAAATAATAATTACAGTTATTATATAATAACTAATATGCGGGCCAAGTACAGGGCACTGTGAGAGTGTTCATAGACTAGAAGGTCAGGGAATGTTTCCCTAGGTAATTGACATTTAAGCTGAGGCTTGAAGGATGAGACCTGAGATGACTTTGAGTTTTATTGTTCTGCACTCTGGTCTTCCACCCCTAAGTTGGAGTACTCTGGGGCATTAAGTAATAGCTATTGAAAGTATTACCAAACTGCTTGCTGCTTTAAAGAAGTCAGCATTATAGTTTTAATTCTGCAACCATAAAAGAAAAAACAATCTGAAATCCCAAATCTTCCAATGCAGTTCCCCCAATACGATTTAATTTAGTCTGCACAACTTCGAGGCTTACATTTGTGTTGGATTATTGCCAGGCAAGTGTGGGAGAAGTTTTCTGCTTGCCAGATAAAGGGTACTTTATCCCTGTTCTCATTGGTCTGACATCGAGGGAGGGAGGATTTGTAAACACTACATGGGCTCCAAAGGGGAAAGTCAAGACGGAAGGAAGCTGGTGAACTACAGGAATCCTTAGTAACATGAATCATCCTCTTCTCTCGAACTCTGTGTTTTATCAGGTGGAGACTAATGATGAGGTGGATCATCAGTCTCTGTAATCCTTTTTCATCCTTGAACTGCCCCCCGCCTGCCCTACTTAGGGTATGCTATTTAAAGAACAGAAATGGAAACATATTCTATACCCTGAAACAGGGCATATGTCCATTTCCTTGAAGATAATGGATAGAACCGAGTGAAGGAGTGATGGATTCACAAGGTTATGGGTTCTGTGTATAAATAAAATGTTTGGAAATGAGACTGCACATCGACAGAAAGAGATTACAGTTTTCTACCCAAATAAGTGAGAAAACTATCCAGAAGAAGTTTAAAATTCTAAGTACCAGGAAGTACTTAGAATTTTACAGGGATTTAGTATAGAAGTTCTCATGAGTAAGGTCATCAAAATATAGACAAAGAGGTTGGAGAATACCTGCAAAGGGCCCAAGTTGAAGAAGGAGATTCTGTAACTCCCACAGCAGCAGTCAGATATAAATGGCTTCTTTCTGCTCTTTTCCTCTATTATCCTTTTCTCCTCGCTGTTCTCTTTTTCCTGATAGGAGAGAGTAAGAAGAGGCTGGAAAGATATTTGCTGATTTGGGTGAATTATGTGGAAGAGACTAGGAACATCAAAATTGGGTGAGATTGCCAGCTACCTAATAAATCTGCATTCAAGCCAGAGGGCCAACAACCTGCAGAACCCACAGGAGAGAAAGCGGACTAGTTCCAGTCAGCCTAGATCATACTGTGAAACACAGTTCCTCCTTAGCCTTGAATACTTTCTTTTCTGAACCCTTCTTCTATACCCTGTGTCCTCACTTCTAACTCTTCATGCACCCAGACACTTTCTGATTTAAGTGATGGGACACCATCCACTAGCTCTCTGACCTTGGATATGTTATTAATTTCTCTGTACCTCTGTTTTGTTATTTGTAAATTGTGAATAATAATTGTATGTAAGTAATAGAGTTATGCAAATTAAATAAATCTAAATAATGCCTTTGCATTATTTACTAATATAAATACTAAATGCTCCCAAAATATTAACTGTTAATTATTATTACTATTATCATTAGTATTTATTCTTGGTACATTTTATCTATATGAAATTCAAAACATTCATATTACTGTGTATCAAGCATAATGTTAGGTTTCAGGGATTTTGAGAATAGAGGGGTGACCAAGACACAAACTCTAACTTCACCGATCTCTTAGTATAATATAGAGAAGTTGTCATAGAATGTAATAATTGCTTTAAAAGATATAATCAAAAGACGCTGGGGAGTAAAGAGCAGAAACTCCTAATTAGGTCTCATTCATTCCATGTCAATCTTGTTACCTATTCAATTTCTTCTGGAGCTAATCTTCAAGATTTCCCCCTTTTTCCGTTTCTCTTCTAGTACCTTTAAATAGATCTCTCTTTTGTTAAAATTCCCTTTTTGTTATCCCCGTAATCCTCCTTGCCTCCCCATACACATATATTGCAAACTGATTTCATACTTCAAGTCCCCATTCAGAGGTTTTCTCCTCACTGATCAACCACAGTTGATCATTTCCATATTTGCACCACAATAAGTCTGCTACTATTCTATCTCACAAATTAAACTGCAGTCACTTGCTTACCTTGTTGTGTCTCCCTACTATACAGAAACCTCCTTGAGGATGGAACTTACGCTTTATTTATTCATACATACTTAGAACATAGCACAAAGCCTGTTACACAGTAGGCTTTTAATAATGGTTCAAAGTGAACTAAAAGTCAAAATTTCTTTCTTGAAATGCTTCATAAGTGACTTTTCTTATCCCTTTGCCCTATACTCAGAACTCTTATTTATTAATAATATCTCATATTATTAATTACTCCTAAGGTAAGACAACTAATAGGGTTACTCTTTCTGGAGAATATAGATTCCCAAATCATTCCTGAAAATGTACTCAGAGAGCAGGAACTCATATGCCATTGTATCCGATGAGAAAATATCAATCCACTTAAAACCCTAAAACATTCAAATCCTTATATAACAGTCTTTTGTAAATTTCTGAATAATACATAGCATTTTAAAAGACCAACTACCAAAATTATGCAACACTTTATAAACTCATTAGTGGGTATGTTTTTGTGTAATATGCAGTGATACTATACAGTATTGGATATGAATTGTTTTACCACTACATTATAATAAAACAGTAATATTATTTAAATAAATAATTTAATCACCACCATCCAATCCCCTTTTCATTTCCATCTTTTTTTTTAAGAAGGGCATTTATGGCTTTCTTAAGTTCACCTTGTTTTCAGCTGTAGTGAGTCCTTTATTTGTGCTGTGCCTTCATCCCCTTGGCTAGTGAGAATATCTGCTGCTGATAGTCACAACCGTGCACCTCACTAGGAGTTTCCAGAGGTCATAGGGACTGCCTCTCACAAGGTTATGCCTCCCTTCCATGACTCAGCCTGTGGACCAATCACTGGCTGATGTGGGGCTAAAGAAACTGAGATGGGGATAAAAAAACTGAGACAACTTGCTTCAATTAGAGATGATAATAAAGGCGCAGCCTGGCTCCAGGGGCTGCAGGATTAGTTGAAACCTCAGTTGTAACCACATGCAGGTCAAGCTCCTCCTTTGCCCAACATTGCCTTCCTCAATTTCTTCCAGGTATATCTTCTGAGAGTATTCAGCCAGAAACCTTTCTATGCAATTCTCTGTCTCAGGCTCTGTATCTAAGAAACCCAATCAAGAACTTTTGGTACCAGGAATGGTTCTAGGAAGAAGAACCTAAGATAGCATTTTTGAGGTGGATTACTTATTGACTTATTGGCATTAAGAATTTCAACACTGGTGGTAGGCAGAGGATGGCTAGCCCCTGAAATTGTTAGAATTTGTCTTGGTGGCGAACTGAGGTGGGGTACTGAGGAAGATACTGCACTAGCAGGATGCAGTATGTTTGATGATGCTTGAGAGGCATGAGAAAAATGAGAGAAAACTATTATTAGGAATACAGAATTGTGAAGCTGTTACAGAGCACTGAGAGAGATAATGATAAGCTTGGGCTGATGAATTACCAATTTGTGAAAGCCTGAGGGCCTCTTTGGAAGCATTGAAGGAAACTTTCATGTCATAGCTGAGGGCAGACAGAAGTAAGAGTCAGGCTCAGGATTTAATCCTAAGAGTAATGCAGCTTCAGAGAAAGTTGAATTCTTACTGCCAGCATACCTCTTATGCCAAAATCAGGGAAAGAATGGAATCCTGAGACTGTGAATGGGGAATTCTGGGTAGATGCAGTTGAGAAACAAACTCCCCGATTCCTCTAAACCTCCTGGGCCTGCAGATGTGGCCGTCTATTGGAAGAGTGCTCCCTTGTTAGAAGACTGCTTGCTTGAAGACCAGAGAAGTCATCTTGTGTGAGGTAGGTAGCTTATAAGACGATACATGCCCCTTTCAGCATCTAGCACCTCCATTCTGGCCAACCAATGCAACAGCAAACATCAAATCCCAGCATAGCCCAACTGAAGATTGCTGGGCTTCCTAAGGCAGGAGTGGGACTAGTGCCAAAGGAGCTGCAATGTGTGGCTAACATACTGGCTAGAATCTAAGGAGTATGCAAGAGACGTGATCCTAAGGGCACTGGATCAAGTGGACAGAGATTGAGTAAGGAGAGTTATTACCAAGTTGAATAAGGAAGAATTTTTCAATATGGAAACACTTTCCTGTGATACAGAATTTAAAACACTGACGTCAATCCCAAATATGGTGTTAGCAAAGAGCTAAGATGGTTATTGAAGACTAAGAGGGAAAAAACAGGACAAAGTCTTGTAATAAATGAAGAAATAATGCTGGCACTGCATTAGAAGATAGTAGAGAATAGGATCAATAGGCTCATAGAAGTGGGCATGGTATCTACTTCAGAGAAGTAGTACCATATAGTTCCATATAAGACTGGAAAACCTAGTATCTGGATATATTGTCCAAAAGGGCCCAGAAGACTTTTTAAAATGTAAGTAATAAATGAACTGGTGACAGAGGTATCAGTATCATTGAAATCTTAGTGTGACTCTCTTTCGTAGGCCATGGCTGATAATAGGAGATGCTGTTGCAGAACTGGATTCCTTGATAGCAATGGGGATAATAATATCTTGAAATAATAGAATTCATGATGGTGGCTGAGATGGTGGTGATTAACAATTTGAAAAAATGGGTATTATTATCTCAATGAATGGCAAAAGTGGAGTGGTAGCTGGAGGGAGGAGTTGAAATAGAGTTATAGAGAAGGTTAATAGAGCACAGTATTTCCAGAGGCGTTTTTAGTTTTTCCTTTAGGAGATTTCAACAGACATTAAGAGGTTCCCTTACCCCCAACACACACACAACATTTCAGTATATCTCAGGTACTTTTATATCTCCACTATAAAATCATAAATATGCATGCAGTATAATTTGCTCAGTAGCTTTCTTTGTATATATTTCTGATAACGAGAATACTTTCCTTCCCTCTCTGATTACATAAAAACCAGAAAAGAATAATTTTAATTTCTTGCATATTTTCAGTAAAACTAGCCACATTTCACTACATTCCACCATTAGCAGAAAATATTAATATTTATATTCCATTTTCAGATTATTTTATTAAAATACTGATAGACCAATCCTAGGCATATTCTGAGCTCTCTGCAACTTTCCTGTGTTGTCCCTTTTTACTTTCTTATATTGGCAACTAACCACTTATGAATACTGTAAGAATGTATTACAGAAAATTTTATGAGCCGGTTTTAATGTAAATCATAAGAGATCTTTAGGATAAAATCAGAAATGTTTCTAATGCTGAAATGAATAGTGTCACAGTGTCTCTTAGCAAAAATGCTTGGGACCAAAAGTGTTTTGGATTTTGGATTTTTTTTTCATATTTTGGAATATTTGCATTATACTTACTCAACTGAGCATTCCTAATTCAAAAATCTTAAATCTACAATACTCTAATAAGTATTTCCTTTGAATGTAATGTTGACACCCAAAAAGTTTCAGATTTTGGAGCATTTGGGATTTTGGATTTTTCAGACGAGGGACACTGCACCTGTACAAATATTATTTTCCAAATTTTGTACCTAGTACTTCTACGTACATACAAATTAAATTGAGCCAATATAATATGTTCTTTTTTTCATGTTGAAATGATTGGTTTATTTATTTATTTATTTTAATTATACTTTAAGTTCTGGGGTACATGTGCACAACGTGCAGGTTTGTTACATAAGTATACATGTGCCCTGTTGGTGTGCTGCACCCATCAACTCATCATTTACATTAGGTATTTCTCCTAATGCTATCTCTTTCCCAGCTCCCCACCGCTGACAGGCCTGGGTGTGTGATGTTCCCCTCCCTGTGCCCATGTGAAACTGGAAACCATCATTCCCAGCAAAGTAATGCAAGAAGAGAAAACCAAACACCGCATGTTCTCACTCATAAGTGGCAGTTGAACAATGAGAACACATGGAAACATGTTCTTTAAATTGTCAGTTTAATTATCATACAGATATTTATCATCTTTTGGGCATAGCTTTTGAAAACCTTGGTTAGTTTGTTTCAGTATTTTTCCAGATCTTACAAGATCTAGATGAAGCTGGCTGACACATAGTGTCTTATGTTGTCCTGCCCATTAGAATAGCAAGAAGTGTTACAAAAATACTGTTTCTAATACAGTGACTTATCTCCCTGATAAAATGTCAATGATATATAAATATTACTTCAATAATTTGTATTTCCTTGAGAGGAAAGCAAATAATTACTACTGTAATCCCTGTGTATTATATAATTCTAAATACTCTTGTAGATTATATTCAATGAAGCTATGTTTACTGACTTATCTACTTCTATATTATATAGTTACATTTCAATTACTACCTAATGCTCTTCTTATTGCAACACTTGACAAAGTCATTAATATGAAATATGATTTCTGGTTCTCAAGGATTCTCTGCATCATTTGTATTTCTACAAAGAATTTTAAGTAATTGCAAGGTACACTTATACCACATTAAATTATTTTATTGGCATGTGAATACTCTTTAATGCTTAATAGTATGACATAATTTTTACATTGATTTTTGTTGAAATGCTTAATTCATTCTGAAATATGATTAGATTCTTAGTTAAGCAAAGTGACAAGGCTGATTCATTCATTGATTTGTTCAACAAATATTTATTTCCTCCTAACTGTGTACTAGGACCCTATGCTACATACTGGTAAAGAGAGACAGAGTCCTTGTACTCATAGAGCTTATCAGGTAGGGCTAGAGGTCTCATAGACAATTAAGCAATAAGAATGAAATCTAGTACATGTTTGACAGGATGATATAATAACTACTACTCATATATTCTTGTATAATAAAATATGAAAATAAATTGTTGGCTTTTCTGACTTGTTCGTGGCTCAAAAAGAGAGAAGCCTAATGTAAACTGTGGACTTTAGGTGATAATCATATGTCAATATAGGCTCGTCAATTGTAGCGAATGTACCACTCTGGTGGGAAATGTTGATAATGGGGGAAGCTGTGCATGTGTGGGGCAGGAGATACAAAGTGACTATACCTTTCACTGAATTTTGCTGTGAACCCAAAACTGCTCTAAAAATAAAGACTGTAAAAAAAATGCTGGGTTAAAACAGTAATAAAACCCATAGATATTACTGGAACAGACAAAAAATTATTAGGCCATCCCATGGTAAGAAAACATTACAAATAAATAAAAATATGTGCATTTTAGAATTTTTGATTGTAAGAGCCATTTTATTTTACTCGTTTTTGTCACTTCAGAAAATTTATTTTCAACCATTTTGTTTTTAGCTGATTTCTGTGGAGCCAGATGGTCATGTGTTTTGGGAATGAGATTAGACTGATTTGCTAGAATCAGGTATTAAGTGACATTAAAAAATAGTCTTATTTCCAATGTGAAGAAAATGAAGATTTTTGAGAGACTGTAAAAATCAAATCATTTTATTTAAATCAATAATTTTCTAGGAGATGATTTAATTTCAATTAACGTCAGTTACGTAATTCATACAATACACCATAAACTTTTCTAAGGATCATCAAATATATTTTTATTTTTCACAACAACTGAGGCATGGAGGACTTTCAAAAATTTCTTTATTTCATATATGAAAATATTGAGACATAAAGAGATGGTTTAAGTGGTAGAGACATCTCAAACACCAGTCTCTTGTGCTTCTCTTTCTAGCCATCTATTTTACTTCTCTGAAGAATTACCACATGTGTGCTTTATGCTAAGTACCCTTTAACATATTTCACTCTATGTTCTTAGATGTCTTCTGAGGCTTGCTGTTTTATATTGGATTCTACTATAATTGTGAGGAATATTATATTTTTATAAAAAGAGTTGCCACACTATTTTCTCAAACACTATTATTGTCACAAGTACATTTAAGCACCCACTAGATTTCATTGCAAATGGCAAAAATTCATGCCAGGTGCCTCAATATAAGGTAAAACTAGGAAATGATTAAAACTAGAATTTTTTTAAATATAGGATTATCTGCTTTTTTTTAGAATTGCTTACAGAAAGTAATGGATTTGAATGTACATCAAGAGACTATGCAATACATTTATTTCCTAAGCAAATTTTTAAAAATTTAAATATAAGAAATCATTTCTATGTGTCACCAGATTAGTAAAATAAATGGTGTTCAATTTCATAATTTATTAATCAGCCCATATTGTTAGCAGTTTGTGTTGTCATCTTTAATATACAAAATTTTATCTTTCAAAAGATTAACATTTCAAATAAATAATGATTTAATGTGCCTTTAATTATTCTTTTGTTGTTGTTGCTTCCAGAATTTTACATAAGTATTACATATAGGTTTTTTTTATACAACTTATTCTGCTCTGAAATTGAGAGAAAAAAATTGACACAAAGAGAACAAGATAGGGAGAAAAAGAAAAGATAAAATATACTCAGAGTGCTTAGACATAGGGGACAGTATTTAAGAGCCCACACATGAAGCAACTTGTTGGTTCACAGAATAAGCAAGTAAATGACTAGAAGATTGGGACCTTTCATGGACGAACAATGCTCGGATGAGCTGAAGGCATAATCTCTGAAAGAAAGCTGGTCCCATTACTAGTAATTATAGTTAATCAGCAACAATTGTCTTGACCAAGATACAGATCAACATTGAGCACTAACCTAACAGGACTAATGAGGGTAATGGAGGATGAAGAGAGCCTGATTGAACTCAGCAAGGCATTGAATAACCTGAGCAGATGATACATTTTCAGTCTCGGCTCACTTGCAACCTGTTGTTTTAATGCGGAAGGCAATAGCTTTCTTCAAATCACGGGACCTTGGTTGTGACTCTCAGCATAGATATTGGAAAAAAATGGGTAATGTTTAGCATGGTGGGTAATATTTTTTGCATGGCCTACATCATATTAGCATGGTGACACTGCCTTATATAATCTTTGCCTCTCAAAATGATTTGAGATTCAACTAAATAGGCATTCCCTGGGAGCTTGTTAGATATACAGACTCTCAGGCTCTAATTCCAGACCTACGAAACTAGAACCTGCAAGATCCCCAAGGGATTCTTATGCACTTTAAAGTTTGTGAAATGGTAGTAGTCTAAATCCAGGGATGCCTTGGATCTAATTGTTATATTGTCTCACTCTATCTAGGTACAGTTTCTTAGAGAGATTCAAACTCTAATAATTTGTACTCCATGCTATAATAAAAATAATGTATTTGAGAAGAAAAAGCCATTTTTGTGTGGTATTCCTTTAATCCAAGACAGCATTAATGCTCAGAAAAGAAGAGGTGAAAGATCTCTGGGAAGGAAGAACTGGATTTGGTCCATGTAAACAGTCCATACAGCACAAAGCCTTCCATTAAATTAAAAAATACTTTCATGTTGCAACACTCTTTTTCAAGAAGCCAGTGCACTTTGCACAGATAGTACTTCATTTTTATGGCTCCAAATAGGTAACCAGCATCACTCTCTTTTATCCATATGGAGAAAACATCGTAATCATGAGAAATTTATGTAATTTGGGTAACTCATTCAGTGAAATTTCTGAGAACAAAAAAATGTAATTGTTAATTTTCTGCCATTTCATGTAATACATTATCTTCAGTGAATGGCAAGATCTATTCTAATACGTTGAACACCTTCACTGGATGAATGTAATACAAGATTGTTGAATTACATATATTTTAGATTTGGTCTTGTAGATGTCAGATATCTATGGTGTAAATTTAAGTTAATTTTGGTGATCTTTCTTAAAGAGTACAAGATATTCACATATTTCTTCACATAGCTGCAAACACAAAAGGCAGGGAGAAAGTGAGCTCACACATTAAGACTTCTATATTCTGGTTTCTTTATCATCATTATCTTGTTTATTTCTCACAACATGAACATATTATCCTCATTTTTTTCCATATGGAAACTGAGGCTAAGAAAGGCTAAATAAATAATTTACCTAGCACAGTCAGTGGAAGAGGCTGAATGCAAATGATGTCTGCTTGACAGGAAAACTAGCTCTCTGTTTACCATGCTAAATTTGCTTACTCGTATTGCTTGATTAGGATTTCTGTGCATACTATATAACTTTGGAATGTGTTATCCAGCAAAACTAAAAGAATACTAGAAGATTTTATTATGAATACAGCAATCCCTTTCCTCAGACCTTCTATATACTCTTCTTCTCCCATAGCCAAATACTATTAATTTTCAATCTGCATGTTCTTCCTATTATATCCATGTGTCTATATGTTACTACTTATTAAATCAACTTTTGATATTACCTATTGACTTTATGTTTTGATAGTGGAATACTTGTCCCTTGTTATATTTGCTGCCTTTTCCAATATTTTTTATTACTTCTGAGGTTAATAATCGCTTTGTTTGTTTAGTTTCATATTTACCTATCAACATTTGTTCCAAAGGCTACAGTGGATCTGTCAAATATTTACTACTAATAATTATTCAAGGTGCTCAAACTCTCTATAATTTAATATTTTTGTCTTAGAGACCTTCTTTCCATGGCCCTCCATGCTCTTGCTGAAGTTTGATCATTTGCCCGGAAGTTCTGGTACAGAGTTTGTAATCCCTGGGCCTTCCTTCCTGGAGTCCAGTGCTGGATTCCCTGCTTTATGGATCTGATGTTTCCCTTTCTTGGCTCACCCATAATGTTGCCAGAGTAATTTCCTATGGTAATTTCCTACAAAATTATGTTTGGAAAATAAATACAGTAATTCATGGCTTAACAATAGGGACACTTTCTAAGAAATGTTTCAGGTGATTTCATCCTTGTGTGAACATCATGGATCATACTTACCCAAACTAGATGACACAGCCTACCACACACCTAGCCTATATGGTATATCCTATTCCTCCTAGGCTACAAACCTGTACAGCATGTTACTGTACTGAACACTATAGGATATTGTAACATAATGGGTGGTATTTTTATACCTAAACATATCTAAACATAGAAAAGGCACAGTAAAAATATGGTATTATAACCTTTGTTTTATATGTGTGTATGTTGTATATGTATATATATACATTGTTGTATATGTATATATATATCCTCTTGTATATGAGATTCATCATTGAAATGTTATGAGACTGTATTGTGATTCTTCAGATGTCTGAAAATGTCACCATTCAGTTGATGGGTTAGCTGCTGTTCTTGCTATTTATTGCTGTGTAACACATCACCCTGAAATTTAGTGGCAATAACAACCACTTTATTATGCTCACAAAGTTTGTCGGGCAGGAATTGGCGCATGGCACAGTGGAATGTCATGTCTCAACTCCACAGTGTCTAGAACTTGATCTGGGAAGGTTCAGAAGGCTAAGAAAGAGTCAAATGGCTGTGCTGAGATCATTTGGAACTTCTTCACTCACAGATCTGGCCTTAGATTGGGTTTGGTGGAAATGATAGACCGGCATGCCTATATGTGACCTCTCCCTGTGGCTTGGGCTTTCTTACAGCATGGGGTTTTTAAACAACTGCCATAGCCAGATGTAAAACTCTAGGCTAAATATCATTTTTACCCTTTTAGGAATTTGAATCCACTCAGTGAGAATATCCAACTTGAATGATTTTCAGTTTTATCTTTTTTTGATTTTGTTTTGTAATTTTCACTTTCTAAATTTTCTCTTTGCTTAATTTCTACTGGTTACATAGTGGCTTTTTGAGCTTGATCTTCTAAATCTTTCTATTTTTGTTGTTTTGTTCAACTTTGTAGATTTTTTCAACTTTATGCCAGAACTCTTTGCTTGTGGTCTGAATATTCGTGTCCCCTCAAAATTCATACAAAGATACATATGAAATTCATACCTACCTAATGTGACAATACTAAAAGATGGGGCTTTTGGAAGGTGATTAGGTCATGATAAAGGATATCCCAGAAAGCTAATTCGCCCCTTCTGCAATGTGAGGACACAGCTACAAGTCAGTACCTATGAGGACGAGGACCCTCACCAAGCACTGGCCAAATCTGCTGACGCTGATCCTCTCAAACTGGGATACGTGAATTTCCCTTGCATATGTTACTCAGTTTGTGGTACTTTTATTATGGCATCCTTAACAGACTAAGACTCTCTTCAATTTTTAAAATAATCCTATTTTAACTATGCAGGAGCTCACTTTTGTTCTTTGATTAATTTTGTACATAATATTCTATTTCTGATTATGAATTTAGTATTTTTCTCACTTATCTGGCAAAATTACAATGATGATGATGATTAGTTTTCATATGCTACCTGTGTTACCTTTGTTACCTTTGTTTCATCTAAATTATTATTTTTTCACTTGTTTTATTCTCTGTGTTTGACCTTGAAGAATTTTCTCAAAACCGTCGTACTCCTTGACTTTTGAGAGGGAAACCTAAAAAAATGACAAAAAACATTGGTGAATGTGTGTGTGGTAGTGGTTGTAGATGAAAAGGTTCTTAATTCTGGAGGCATTCTAAAGAAAACTTCCAGAATTTCCACAGAAAGAGCCTATTAGTATCCTATGTATCCAATCCTATTAGTATCTATGTAGGACTTTTCTCAGTCATTTAGTTTCTCTAATGAAGAATCCATTACTCTTGTATTAGTGTGTATGTCTAGATGTCAATGCTCTGGGGGCAGTGTGGAGTGAGCTTTCTGGGAAGGCCTCACCACTCTTGTGCAGGCTTTATTTAATTACACTGTTTTAATTTTGATACCTGACTTCTCCTCTCCACTGGCTCTGGTATGTCCTAATTCAATTTGTCCAGCAAATATAGTTATGTTATATTCCCGAGATTTAGGGAATAAAGATCTATGGTGTGACTCCTCCTAATTAAGACTTTCAATCAACTCCCTCTTTTGAACGCCTACCTAACTGTGGCCTTTTAGGTTAGTACCTCCAGGAACTAAGAAATTCAGGAATTCAGGTAAACCTGGCTCAGCTTCTCCTTATTATTGCCATCTCCTTAACTCTCAGCCTCAACTCCTCTGCTTTATGTTCTCTCTCCTCGGTTCACTTTTCAGCTTCAGAATAATGAGCTTTTAAAAACATGTTCCTCTTTTCTTTGCCTTTTTGGAATTTTTTTCTTTTCATTAGCATTTCAATATATTTTATGGAGGCATTGGAATATAAGCACATTCTGCTCCTTAGAGCAGTCTAAATATAGCAAATGTCCCCAGATCTCATGGACTTAACACAATGGATGTTCAATCCTACCAACATCACAGTCTAATCAAGAGACATGCAGTGTAAGGGGGCAACTTCTCACTATGTGGTCATTTCAGAATCCAGCCCCCTTCCAGCTTGATGTTCTACCATCCTTTAGGACCTCTGTGGCCTCCTGTGTCCCCTGTAGATTTTGGAAAGAGAGCGGATAGGATGGAAGGCAACTCCAGAGCAAGGAGCTGCATACATATCATATTTGTACATGTGGCTATCACAAAATTCAAGGGAGGCTCAGAAATACAGTTGAGCTGTGTCTCTGTACAGAAGAAATAAGTCTGGTGCATGTCTAATTTATCTCTGCTAAAAGATATATTTGGTTTTCTATCTGTCATTGAATCAGAAATCTCCAATACATGCTTTTCCCAAAATGTGCTCATCAGGTAAATACATAGGAAAAGATAGTTTAATTTTTCATTTCTTCATGTCATTTGTTATTTAGGATATACGTTTAAAATTTAATTTATGACAACTGACTTATTATAAAACTTAGGATAAGACCTAAGAAATATTTCCTTGAGATAATTGGAAGAGAGGAATCTAATTTTAATTTTGGTCACCTGACAATACTTTCCCCATCTATAAAACAAGAGTGGTTCTTGTACCCTTCTACTTGCATACTCTTTTGGATGAATATTGAAATACTTTTCTATCAAGGATATATTCTGCATATCTTAGAAGAAAGGCACTATGGAAATGCAAATGGAAAGACAAAACACTTATTAAAGAGAGAAACTGAAAAGGCTAAATTTGTCCTTTTCCTTTTTCACTTATTTAATTTTAAATTATTGGTTCTACTACTCAAACTTTGGACTGCATTATCTAAATGGTTAGTTATCCTGCCATTTCAGGAGCTGGTCCTCCAGCTTTACTTGATTGTCAATTTTAATGTTAAGTCTGTTAATCTTTAATTTTTCCTAGGTAAGTGGGTATGACTGACTGTGTATCTTATTGAGTAGTTGGTTCTGAAAATACTGTAGACTCATTCTATAAAACTCATGTTTATACATGTCCAGCTACAGAAGTTTTGTGTTATGTAACTAAAATTAGTAATCTGTTCGTATGAACAACTCTCTTAAGTGACAAGTTTTTCTTGTACATGAAAAGCTTGGTGCTAATATTATCCCTGATAGTATGTTGAATGTTTAGATGAGCAAGAACCTTTTTTATTTCCACTTAGCAGTTCTCAGATTGATCCAAGAAAGAAAGCCCAATGCCTGAGGAGAACAAATAATGTGGAGAACTTGTACTATTCCCCAGAGGATGCATAGACACAAGCAGGCAGCTGAATATAAATATTTTAAAGTCCTTATCATTAAAGCTTATATACAATTGTATAATACTCCATAATGTTTTTGCTTATTTTGATTTTAAATATTATTTTCCTTCTGAAATTTTCCAATTAAATTTATGTTTAAGGACATGCCATATTTATTACTGTAACAATACTTTGAGAGTATTTCTAATTGAGGTTGGAAATAAACAGAACAAATATGAGGGGAACTTTTTCTTCCTTTGGGTAGGAGAAATAGTAAAAACCTATGGCTTTTTGCTTGAAATTTTATACAGCTGCTACTTATTTACTGTGTCAGAATTTCATCCATATTTGGTAACTGTTAGTAAAGAATTTAGATAATCCAATTATTTGTGTTATCTTCCCATCATATCAACTGGAAAAGCATTTTTTCAGATTATTTCCTCTATACTAGTTGAGGTCACAATTACTGTGTGAACTTGGGAATCCTGCTGAGATTTGTAAGCAGATAGGGAAATGTTGATAGGCTAATTGCATAGACTTTGCATTATGTGAAATGTTGAAAAATGCCTTGTATTTTTAATATTACAATATCATCACCTTCTTTACAAAAAAATTATAAAGTTGAAATCTTATATCTTTTACTCTTTTAAAACTGTAGGTCATACTCTTTTAGATAAGATACTATGAAATTAAATATCAGCTCTCAGAGTAATAAAATATTAGAATTAGAGTCCATACTAAAGAAATATTTGCAGAAATTTGTCAAACACTTATGAAATATATAGACATAGAGACTGCTATTTAAAATTTTTTGACAGTTCAAAATTTGAGCCCATCTGATCATGGTTTATCCATTACCCTTTTTATAAACTTCCCTCCTAATTGAAAATGATTTTCATTCTAAAAGGTTTTTCAAGGCCGGGAGCAGTGGCTCATGCCTGTAATCTCAGCACTTTGGGAGGCCAAGGTGGGTGGATTACCTGAGGTCAGGAGTTTGAGACCAGCCTGACCAACATGGTGAAACCCTGTCTCTACTAAAAATGCAAAATTAGCCGGGCGTGGTGGTGCATGCCTGTAATCCCAGCTACTTCGGAGGCTGACGCAGGAGAGTCGCTTGAACCCAGGAGGCAGAGGTTGCAGTGAGCAGAAATTGTACCATTGTACTCCAGCCTGGGCAACAAGAGTGAAACTCCGTCTCAAGAAAAAAAAAAGATTTTTCATTGTTGTTGTTTTTTTTTTCCAATATCTGGTTTCTCCTCAAACTTCTCAACTCCTTGCTTCTTCAATATCTCCTTTCCCAAGAATTCCTTACCACTCCCTTATATATTTCGGAACTTTCTTGAAAACAGACCGTTTTTTAGATTGAACCATATGAAATTGCTGATAATTGATTATTTTTCGGCCTACAAAAATGACAGATTTATGTGGTTCAACCTCAACTTTGTTAACTGCATCCTAAAAGTTATTTTCTTCTTTTTAATGCCAGATTTCTCAAACATGGAATTTAGTTTCTTACAATTAAATGTAAATTCCTAATCTTTTATACTCTATCTCCAATCCACTTTACCCGTTTCCCAAAGGCAACCAATATTCTTGAACTGTCAGTTTAAGTTACCTCTTCTGAATTCTTTTCTCTTTTGCTTATTACAGCTTTTGAACATATTGACATTGCACTGGAGACTTTTAGAAACTGATTCTTTACTTTAGTGTCCTGGCAGCACTTCTACTTTTCTGACCTCTTTTTGTGGCTTCTTCTTGCTATATTTTAACTGTGGGTCTCCTCTACGTCAGCCTTTGGGACCCAGTTTCTTTTGGCTTTAATTTTTCTTCTTTGGAGACTCTCACACATGCTGATTGTACTGATGGTTGTTTTGGGCCAGACTGTGTTCCCCTCAAATTCATATGTTGAAGCTCTAATCCCCACCTAAGAATGTGACTGTCTGTGGAGAAAGGGTCATTAAAGAGGTGAGCAAGTTAAAATGAAGTTAAAATGAGGCCACTAGGGTGAGCCCTAATTCAATCTGGCTGGTGTTTTTATAATACAAGAAAATTTGCACATACACAGATACACCAGGAATATGCTTTCAGAGAGGAAAAAGCCATGTGAGGACACTGAGAAGGTAGCCACCTGAGAGTCGAGAAGAGAGGCCTCTAAAGAAAATGCTGATACCTTGATCTTGGATTTCCAGCCTCCAGAACTGTGACAAAATAAATTTCTGTTGTAAAAGCCACCTAGTCTGTGCCATAGCAGTCCTAGCAAACCAACACAATGATCTGTGCCTTCCCCACTTTTATTTCTGTAAAATAAGAGTCATAGTAAATGTTTTATAATAAACAAAATGATGCTTAAATGTTTGGGGAACTTTATGAATCTACTATATTGAGATTTATGATGCACATGGAAGATTAAAGACTCAGATATTCTACAGTAGGGAAATATTTGACTCAGTGCTTCTCAATCTCATACTTATTTGGCCATGACAACTTTTCCTTTTCTTTTTATATATTGCTCAGTATCTCCTAACATCCTGTGGAACATACTTGGAAAATGTTAGCCTATCTCCCACTTTAACCTCTAAATGTATTTACAGTTATATATGTCTATCTGCCTAATAGCCATTTCATAGTGAACTAGGTAAACAGACATGTCAGTTTAGTATATATTGACTTTTTGGTCTCATTTTTGAACAGGAGTTTGTTATGGTATGTGGTATGTTTGGTGTACTACTGCAATTGGTCCTCAAGAAATCTTCTTGTCTTTAGTTTCTCTTTCTCTAAGGCTAACCATACCGCATGATGTTATCAGACTCAAATTCCATGATTTTTTATTCCCCAAACTACTTTTATTATAATGCCCTACTGCTCAAAAACCTTTAATTATTCTCTATTATCACAAGTTTATCACAAAATTCTTAGGTTAACATTTAAGGTCCCTTCAAAATCTGACTCCAACCTATATGTAATTTTTCTGTGTTATTCCTTTATCAGAGCTCTCCATTCTATCTAAGATTATCTGAAAATTTATTAATTCAGGTGGGTTCAAAAAACATTTACTGAGTATCAACTGGATTGAGAGTCTATGAATATCTACTGTGAATCAAATATTGTGCTAGTTCTGCAAATGCTGTGGGCTCTCCACCTCCCCTCCCCTTTGGACATTTCATTCTCAATAATGCGATATAATTTAACAGTCATTGTGACTCATTCATCTCACAATTTCTGAGTATTTGCTACTTGGTCGAGCCCCTGGGAATACAGCAATAAATAAAAGCTCCCAATATGAGAAAAAGACAAAAAGAAAAAAATGAATACTTTAGACATTCATATATTCTATGAAAAAATACACTAAAGTGATAGGGACAGCTGGAGAGAAAAAATGATCAGGACGATTTGCTGAAACAGAAGTAGAGGAGGAGTCATCTGAGAAAATCTGGATTAAGAGAATTGCTGGCAGAGGGAAAAATTGCAGAGGTCCTGAGGCATGGCAGAGCTGTGATGTTTGTAAAATAAACAAAATTGTTAAAAATTGTTTGATTATTCTAGTATTAACAACTAATTATTATGTCTATATTCCCAGTTATCATGATTGTTATTTCTCACTGTCTTTGTTTAAATCCTCCTGTTAACCCGAAGGTAAGTCTAAGTCTCCTCTGCAAAGTCTGCATGTCCACTACCATCTTTCATGGCAAACTATTTCTCTTTTGAGTCTCAGCATGTGTTTGACTACACTCATTGTGTACTGATACGAACACATTTTTGCAGTGATATCTAACCTTTGTACTATTTAACATTCTTAATAATATATATCTTTGCTTTACTATTAGATTATAAACTCTAAACGATGCATGATACAATTTTTGCACACCCAATATCTCTCGAGTGGGATTGAGCATAAAAGCTGTCTTTGTAGAGCTTACATTGAATTACACAGAAAAATAACACTAAAACATACAGTATCGTTTAAGAAGATATGGAATGATTAAGGGTACAACCACATCATCTAAGTCTTGAAGGTTTTGAGCAATAAGACAGATCATGTGGTATTCTGCTAATTCACCCTGCTACTGTGGTAGGTACAATGTCAGAATGAGACCACACATGAAGCTATCAAAGAAAATAGTTACTATAGGCCTGATGGGTACTTATGGTGATGACATGGTGAAAAAGAGAGGCAGATAGTTAAAATCTCAAGCCTGCCCATGAATCCTGAACCCAAATTCTGCCCTGTCTTCAGCCACTTCCAAAATGATTCTCAGAAGATGTGTGCACAGAGCAGATCAGAAAAAACTTTTGATTTTCAACTGGGCTTTGATGTCAACTCCTGTGTAATTTTTAGGTAAATTGTCCCTGACCAGCAGTGGGCCACAGGTGCCTCTTGTCCCCTTAGCACAGTACAAAATGTAGGTGTTTGTCACTGACATTTGACCTTCTAATTTTGGTATGAAAAGGATTAACACCATTAGTTTTGACTGGGTTCAAGGAGTGACGAAAATAAAACCTGTGGGAGAAAAAGTAGCATGTGGAAGACAGGAGCTTTTCTAAATTCTGGAGCAGAGTTTATCAAAACTTCCAAATCCAACACATCCCAAAGAAAGGGAGGGAGGTTGGGGAGAGACAAGTGTAGAATGGTCCTCTTTTAATAGGAAGGTAGCACAGGTTTCATTTATTGAATGACATGATCACAGGGTAGTATTTAAGAGAAGAAATTATCCATAAAAGACTCACAAAAGTGAGAGAAGAAACCATGAATGCAGAGAAGACATTAATCCCTTGTACGTGGCTCACCTAGAACCATGCCCTACTTCAAGGCTTCTCTCTTCACTTCTGGCCCAGTAGAGTATGGGGCCAGCCAACAATGAGGCTGTAGAACAGACTGCACTCTCTCAGATGCAATCATTCCTCCTGTTTATAGTGTAAGTTAATTTCTGGTACTTCAGAGTGTAACAATATGGGTTTAATCCTCACTCCTTTACTCACTAGCTGAGGATGCTGGACTGGTTACCTCACATTGTATAGTGAGAATCACAGTTGTGTGGCACTAAGTCATAGAGTTCACATGATTATTATTTGAAAATGACATTTAATATATAGTGAGTGTTCAACAGATTATTTACTGTCAATATTATCATTGTATATTACTTATTTGAATACAATGTATAACAAAATGTATATTATGGAATGACATAATTTAACATTTATCTCTCAAGTACTAAATACAACAGCTTTAGCTTGTTGTGATTTAAATGCCCTGTATTTGTAAAGATATTTGCATCTGTTTAGAAATTAATATTTTCTTAAATGACAAAGAGCTGTTAGATTCCTGCAGCACATTTCAAAAGGATATGATAAAACATCTAGACTTATAATGTGATAGGAAAAATGAGCTAATATTTACCCTCAATTCAATATGATGGCATCATTTAACATCTGTTACCAAGAATAAATATTACAAAGAGCTACTGATTAAAATATTTTTTAAAAAGAGATGCTCCTAAAATGTAAGTGCCATTGCTGGTATACTAGTTTTTTAGTTTAGGAAATTTTAGTGTGCTCCTTTGAAATATTGGCTAAGAAGTGCTCATTGTGCAGAACAAGAAAAATTAGGAACACAAAGGGGCTTTATTTGTATTCAGTTTTAAAATTTTTATAGTAACCTTATGAGGATGCTGAAAAAGTGTGAGACGTGCCCAATAATATTTGATCAGTGAGAAGTAAATCTAAAATTTGAACCTGGTACTCTGGTTTCTGAATCTGTAGCCAGTTAAGCTCTAGAATTTCAAGCATATGGAATTTTGATAGCTTTGAAAGAAAATTTATCTAAGAGATTAAAAAATGTCCATAAGTGGATCACCTGAGATCAGGAGTCTGAGACCAACCTGACCAACATGGTGAAACCCCGTCTCTATTAAAAATACAAAATTAGGCCGGGCGTGGTGGCTCATGCTTGTAATCCCAGCACTTTGGGAGGCCAAGGTGGGAGGATCACCTGAGGTCAGGAGTTCGAGACCAGCCTGGCCAACATGGTGAGACCCCGTCTCTACTAAAAATACAAAAAATCAGCCAGGCGTGGTGGCAGGTGCCTGTAATCTCAGCTACTCAGGAGGCTGAGGCAGGAGAATTGCTTGAACCTGGGAGGTGGAGGTTGCAGTGAGCCAAGATCACATCATTGCACTCTGGCCTGCGCAACAAGAGTGAAACTCCATCTCAAAAAAAAAAAAAAAAAAAGAAAAAAAGAAAAAGTCCATAAGATAGGGAAAGGAAGATGCAGTTTTCCCCAATTAAGGAATACTTACGACATACAGTAACATAGCTATTATCATGAGCGCAAGAGTTAGTGAAAATGCCGTCGACTAGTTTCATGAGACACATTGTAGAAAGATTAAGTGATTTTGATATGGAGGTTATTTTAAATTGAGGTGCCATAAGCTTGGTACTTTGAATATGATTTGAAAAAGGGCTCTTTCTTTTTAGATGGTCAAGGTTATTTGAAAAATTAATAAGAAGGAAACTGAGAAGTCAATGTTATAACATTTGTGCCCCCAAAAGACTTTTACTTTTAATTCTCTGCAAATGCTACACATATTATCTTTCCTAGGTTTGAATTCAGTGATTTTTTTCTCTTTTTGACACTAATATGCCTCATGATAGCACAGATGGGTTTTTATGAATACAAAAGTCTCTAGGTAAGGACATGCTCAGTATCTATGAATATCCACTTTAACATATATACAAAAGGCAATATATCATTTAGAAATGAAAATTAGGTGACTTTAAGCAATAATTTCACATAATCATTCCACATTTTAAGAATGACCCAAATTATTTTTCCTGCTAAGCAGAAGCTAATTAGGTTAAATAAGCTAGTTTCTTAATACCTACTTATGGGTATAATGCACACTGTATACTACTCATGGTTTCTAAAAGGAACATTGTGTCCCTTTTAATTGGCATAAAAGAACTGTGGCAAGGAGTAGTTACATAAGTCAAAGAACCAGCAGATATGTGGTGGCTAAGGTAGGAGAAGGCTCCAAGAATGAAGGTGTGGTTCAAACTGCCAAGCAGCAGACCAAACAGATGAAAGTATGGGTGACGGTAGGTACATCCAGCACTCCTCTTTTCCCTGGATGTCATTTAAGTAATTGATAAAGTGTTTACTGATAATGGCTGACACTGCCCTTTACAAGGGTTATTTTTACTTTAAAATGTGGTTCTCATCAGTGAAACAGTTTAAGACTTAAAACACACAAAGTTGTAATGGAAGTAAAATTGCTATTTTTATGGAAAGGAGACATCCACGTGGTCAGCCTATCATCTTAGAGACCCTCGGCCAGGCGCGGTGGCTCAAGCCTGTAATCCCAGCACTTTGGGAGGCTGAGGCAGGCGGATCACGAGGTCAAGAGATCGAGACCAGCCTGGGTAACACAGTGAAACTCCGTCTCTACCAAAAAATACAAAAAATT
Organism: Homo sapiens; assembly: GCF_000001405.40. NCBI lineage: Eukaryota > Metazoa > Chordata > Mammalia > Primates > Hominidae > Homo > Homo sapiens. The sequence continues at coordinate 111,597,600 of NC_000004.12, read as the reverse complement.
AGCCGGGCGTGGTGGTGGGCACCTGTAGTCCCAGCTACTCGGGAGGCTGAGACAGGAGAATGGCGTGAACCCACCAGGCGGAGCTTGCAGTGAGCCCAGATTGTGCCACTGCACTCCAGCCAGGGGGACAGAGTGAGACTCTGTCTCAAAAAAAAAAAAAAACCCTCAAGTGTTACAGTGTAGTTTGATATAAACATATTTGATAGATGAGGCAAATGAATCCCAGAATGTTAGCTGATTTTCTTTTAGCTACAGCACTCAGGGTTATGTCTGTTGTTAATTGTGGTGGTGGTGTGAAAGCACATGTGTGTCTTAGTTGTTGGCTACTGTAACAAAGTAGATTTGGTGGCTTGAATAATATTTATTTCTCACAGTTCTGAGGCTGGGAAGACCAAGGTCAAGGCACAGGCATATGTGATATCTGGTGAGGGCCCTCTTCTAAGTTTGCAGACGGCTGTCTTCCCATCGGATCCTCACATGGGAGAGGACAATCATCTCTGTCCTGTCTCTTCTTATTAGGACACTAATCCTATTCATGAGGACTCCATCCTCATGACCTAATTACCTCTGGAAGTCCCCACCTCCTAATATCATAACACTGGGCATTAGGATTTTAATGTATGAATTTTGGGGGAGCACAAACATTGAGTGTATCTGGCTATGTAAAGTGTATGTGTCTATGTGAATTGGGGTAATAAACTGTTCTTCATCTCCGTCATCTCTCACTTTCCTCATCTTCTGATTGCCTATTTGCATAATCACTAAAACATTGGCGTGGGAGAACTTTTCCCGCAGTATCTCTAGAAAACTCTCAGCTGCCTGACTTGGTCAGGTCGCTTCACTTATTTATTAAGTAAACATTTTTCATGAGCTAGAATAGAGAAGTGAGAAAAAAGGGGTAACCAGAACACATTTCTAGTCTTTATGGTGGTTACAGATTACTGGGAGGTACAGAAATTAAACAGAGTTGCATAAGCACATATAAAGACCTTGACCATAAGAACTGATTTTTAAAAAGTATGAGTTATTATGAGACCAGAATGTTATATGTAGGATGAGAGATTAGAGAAGGCCTTTTTTAGTATGTAATATTTAAATTGAAAGAGGAGTACAAATGCATGGTAAAAAGTAGACAAAAAAGCATTGTAGGGGACGAGTGTGGTGGCTCACGCCTGTAGTCCCAACAGTTTGGGAGGCCGAGGAAGGGAGATCACCTGAGGTCAGGAGTTTGAGACTAGCTGGCCAACGTGGTGAAATCCCATCCCTACTGCAAATACAAAAATTAGCCGAGTGTGGTGGTGTGTGCCTATAATCCCAGCTACTTGGAAGGCTGAAGCAGGAGAATCTCTTGAACCCTGGAGGCAGAGGTTGCGGTGAGCCAAAATCACGCCATTGCACGCCAGCCTGGGTGACAAGAGCGAAACTCCATCTAAAAGAAAGCATTTTAGGCTGAGGGAACAGACAGCACATAAGGCTGAGGCACCAGAAAGGCTGGAGTCAGTGTTGAGTTGGGTGAGCTTAGTGTGATGTGAGGCTTGAGAGGTCTGCACATGCTAAAGGAAGGGACTCTGGATGCTTAGTATTTTAGTTCTGATGGGGAAGCTTTGAAAAGTTTTAAGTAAGGGTGTGACAAGATCCAGTTAATATATTAAGAATATTTATTTAACGCTGTGAGGAGAGTTGATGGGGGAGATATCAAAAATGGAATTGAGCAAATGATTGGATAGTTTTTAGTTTAATGGAAAAATGAAGGAAGCCGATGGTTTGGGGAGAAATGGAAGGAGGCTTGGATGGGGAAGTTTGCAGTGGCAATGGAGAGATGTGAACAAATGTAAGGTGTATCTTCCCTGTGGAGTCAACAAGTATTTTGCATATATTCGATGTCTGGGGACAAAAGCATGCCGTGGATGGATTCCTAGCTCCTGCCATGTGCAGCTGTTGGGATAAGGTGCTGCCACTTATATGAACACTGGAAGAGAAGCTGCTCAGGCAGGGATTAAAGTGGATTGTAGCTACTTAGTGAGATGAAAACAAAGAAAACACTTCTGATGTTTAATTCCTTCAAGTAATATTTATTGAATAAGCTCCACTATAGATAAAACCCTGTGATAGGTGCTGTGGCTGATGAAAACAGGTTCAACCCATAATTACTGCTCTTCAAGATCTTCCAATAAGGAAAGTATACATACTAAGGAAGGTATAACCTCAGGATATAATGTTTTGTTTATGGTAGACTTCTCTTCATTTAAGTATCAAGGCCAGCTTTGAAAATTTAGACTTTTCAGGACTCAGTTTTCTCGTTTGTAAAATAAAATGGTGTAGACAAAGTCTGGTCAAGGGGTCAATAGCATCTGCATTTCTTTGGAGCTTGTTAAAAATGCAGAACCACAAGCCCCATGTCAGATCTACTGAATCAGAACGCACATTCTGTAAGTTCTCCAGATAATTTGTATGCCCATTAGCTTCTGAGAATTGCTGCTTTAGATGATCTCCCAAGTCCCAGACACTGGACTTCTAGAGCTAAGTCACATCCTCTCCATGTGGGAGGCTTGTATGCATTTGACTCGTCTGTGCAAATACACGTTAGTGACAGAGGGCTGAAGCACTATTGGTATAATCAACAGCAAGCTGACTCTAAAAATTAGTTTAAATATATAGAGGAGAGCTAGTATTATCTATCTAAAAAAAAAAAATATATATATATATACGAAGACTTGCTAACAGTAAAAATGTATATTCAAGAATTACTCTCAAGGGCCTTAATTAGGCTCCATATTTCACTTACCTTCTTTAAGACAAAACTTTTAAATCTCAGTAAATTAGACATGTAATCCATTTTATGCCAATAATCCAGAGGAAGTAGTAGGACAATTTGGTAGATATTAGATAACTAACCATCCATAATTCATAGTAGTTAAATATTAAAGTGTATTGTTTATGAGGATACAGTGGTGGCAATTATATTTACAAGTGAAAATTGATTCACTTGTCTTTTGTGACAATAAAACAGAAGATACAAATCAAAGAAAAATTTATAAGGCCTTTGAGTGTTAGAAGGCAAAATCATGTTATTGAATTGATGGCTTCCTTTATCACAAATTTATTACATATTTTTGATAGAGTAAACCAAATGGATTATTGCATTTTAAAATTATAGATGCAATGGCTTTATTTTATTTTTAATCACGTGTAGATTTCATTTATCACCTGTTTGCTTTTAATTAGATGTGTATTAGAAAATTGATAAAAATACAGTTAAAAATCATATCATTCATAGATAATAATTGTCTATGTAAAAGAATTTTTACAATATATAAATAATAAATTGAGTGCATTTAGATGCTAGTCTCATATCCTGCTTTTAGAACATTATTTAATTTAGATAAATTTATATGAGTATTTTAAAAGCGTATCTGTTGTGAAAAGTGAGACTCATAGGTAGTATACAAGACTTAGAAAATTTACAAATTTGCTCTCTACAGAAGAAAGCTATTTTTTACATATTTATATGGGCATGTGAATAACTTACCCAAATAAATGGTAAATTCCTAAAAAATAAGAAGTACACTTTTTTTCCTCTTTTGTTTTAACAGAACACACCACTGATTGAAATGTAATAGACACCAATTAACTACATTAACCAACTATACTGTAAATAAATAGGCTTCCTTAATTTTGCCGTAATTTTTATGTTGATTATTTGGAGATATTTTGAAATTATAAAACATTTGAGTAATTATTCTTTAATTTTTTCTTTCAAGGCAGAGTCTTGCTCTGTTGCCCAGGCTGGAGTGCAATGGCACGATGTCGGCTCACTGCAACCTCCACCTCCTGTGTTCGAGCAATTCTCCTGCCTCAGCCTCTGAAGTAGCTGGGATAACAGGCACATGCCACCATGCCTAGATAATTTTTTTTTGTATTTTAGTAGAGACAGGGTTTCATCGGGTTTCCCAGGCTGGTCTCGAACTCCTGAACTCAGGCAATCCACCCGCCTCAGCCTCCCAAAGTGCTAGGATTACAGGCGTAAGCCACCACACCCGGCGTATTACTCTTTAATATTAAGGCTCTGTAAAGCTGGCAGGTTTTGTGTACATTATTGCAAAAGAAAAATTTCAAATGTAGTTTTAAAATTTTTAAGTTTCATTTACTTGAAACAGAGACAAAAGCAAAATATTAATAGTTCAACAATGAATGCAGCATTTCTTAACACAATCTTTATAAAGTTATTCATTGTCTTCTACTTTTTTTTTGCCTAAATAAGTAATTGGAGATACTTTAATCAATTTTTATGTGTTCATGCATGCCTAATACTTCTCTCCTTTATTAACGTGCTAATAAGTCTTATGATCATTAAAATGGATTGTGGGCTCAAACTGTCTCTGTTTATACTTGAACTCTCCTTGACAACCACAGATACAAACTTATAAGGCTCAATATGAATTAGGATGCCACAGAGTACAGTTAATAATTGTTTTCATATCAGTATGTCTCAATCTCTTTTTCTCTCTTCCCCCCTCCTCTTAATATCACACTCTACATATGCTGAATCAAATTTTTCCAATTCAAAAGATATACAATGCTACTTTCTAGAACAAATATTTAAAACATGTTAACTACATAAAACATTAAGTCCCATTATTTTAATCTCCATCACAGAACAAAGAAAAATCTATGAATCTATAGGAAGGTAGAAGAAGGGATGGTGAAGTGTAGCAGCCAGGGCACCAAGATAAATAATAAAAGAAGAAGCAAAATAGAGCTATGGCTTGGAAAATTGTTCAAACGTTTTAATTAATTTGATATTTTAGCCAATCATTGTAGAGTCAGAGAATCCCTAATTGAAAAGAATTATTACAATAGTAAACTTTCAGGGGATGTACCTTTTATTTTAAAAATATACTTGCAAAATATTAAATATCTCTTCTCAAAGTTTTCCAGAGTATTTAGTTTTTTTAATTAAATTTAAAATTAAAAATTATATTTAATTTTTAAAATTAAATTTAAATTTAAAAACTTATACTCTTACTTGGTATAGTGTTCTAACTCAGGACTAAGAGGAATTTTGAAAACACTTAGTTATAAGAAAAAGGTGTAGAAATATCCTTGTTCGTATTTTCCTTGATGAGCCTTTATGGTTTGGTAGGTAATTTGAAGTGACACTATCTTCTTACTCCTGAAAGTTTATAGTTTAGTTTGAAATCTAAAAACATTGATTTTTTTCTGAGTTTATTAAAAAACAGAAAGATTTATAATTTGACACAGAACTGAAGTTTCTAAGTTTATTTTTCCTTCTTTATAGATCCAAATTAACATCAAAATGTTGAATGTACCTCTTGAGTAACAAATTTATAATTCTACATTATGACCATATGCAGTATACATAAACATTTATGGCTGTATATGTGCAAAATATGTATGTCTGAAAAACCCCAATATTTAATTACAGTATCAGTAAACCAATTTGGGCATAAAGTTTAAAGTACACCTAAAAATATTTGATACCTAAAGAAAAAAATCCAATAACTAACTTTGGAACTAGACCTACAGAATGATTCCTTGAATGGGATTTTAATAGAAAGCTTACTGTACTTACTACAAATGTATCTCTACAAAAAGGAAACAATAAATTATTAAAAGTGCATTTTACTTGACATGTATGTTATTCCATTATGATGCTGACACTGTATATTTGGAGGAATGCCTCAGAATACTTACTGCTTAAAAACCATGTAACTGTAAAAGCTGTTAAGGAAGCCACTGAACTGGGAATTGAATACCTAAGAGGGAATCTTTTGGAAAGCTCTTCACTTTTCTATCACTTGGGTTTTCCAGTAGAAAATTTCCCCTGTGCTCAAAATATACTGTTGAATTAGATATAATTAACATACAAATGTCAGGTAGGTGAGATATATTTAATGGAGGCAGTCTAGCAGATTTTCAATCTTGAAAAGAAAAAATATGTACAGTATTAAGGTTTCGCAATATATTTTTCTCTTATTTTTAACATTTTTGAATATATTCTTCTTTACTTGATGTGCTGCTTAATGAGAGAAAGACTTTCAAAAACTTTCCAAAGTATCAAAGAATTTCTATTTTGCTGTTTTTGTCCTCCCCGTGCTGTATTTTACTTGGAACTTCTTTCAGAAAGTATGGATCTTATCTGTGTTTATTTTTTCCCAAATAATAATGATAAAAGGAAGTGGGTAAAATGTTAGGAACTAATTAACTATCTCATTGCAGTTAGTGGTTCTGAATTTGAAGAACTTTGCATTTGAAAATAAGGTACAATAATCTCCTAAAGAATTTTCTCAAAGCTAAAAGTTTTCTAAGACAGACTTTATATTGAATATGGTTGCAGTGTTAGCGCAATGTTTTCTCATCCTATCAGGGAAAAGGTTTGCATTTCCACCTGGAGTTTTATTTACTTCTCATCATGAAATCTTCCATTTTGATATTATCCTGCTGCATGTTACTGGTATGTTCTCTGGAGCACAATGTCTATGAGAACTGTTGGTAATTTGAAACAGATTTAGAAATACTAATTATCACAGAATAAAGCCATAGTATCAAATAATATATGTATGAAACTGGGATTTCAATCTTCGTGCATTTGTGAGTAGAAATCTAAAGCATTTGTAGTAGTGGCAAGATTTGAGGAAGACATGCGAGTACCAGGTAAGTTTGCCATTTTGTTTTTAAATTTTGTCATTGAGTTATTTATATTACACATTTTCATTGATGTATTTCAATATATTTTATTACCATAAGGAACAGAATCACAAGAATCAAGAAAAATATTAAGTTAATTCTATATGACCTTTTAAGGATTCATATATGCATATTATACACACACACACACACGTACATATATACTCTGGCTAGCTTTCAATTGTTTTTAAAGCATGATCCACAGTTTTCAACATCTTTTGGGTGGGGACATATGTGAGGTGGGGAAGGGGTGGGGATGTTTTGGTTTGCATTCTGTACGGTATCTGGATTTTCCAACATATCGAGACAAGTTTTCCAAATCATTTCACATTCCTGTAACAACTCACCATCACATATTTTCTCTTATTAAAGTCCTGATGATAAGCCCTTGAAATCCTAGGCAAGAATTTTCTTTAGAAGTGAGACACTTTATGTTTCTAACTCTCAAAAAAAAGACCTGTTTTATACGTTGTGTCCTTGGATTAATAAATTATTTCAAAGTTATCATGATAAACAGAGTTGTTTTATTCCAGATATAATGCCCAAGTAATTATACACCATAATAAAATTAATCCAGAAAAATGATGTAAGAAAAGCCAAGAGTAATGAGGTCAGTTTCTCTTTTACAATTATAAAAGAGCATTCATTTTAAATTAACTTCAGCCATTTAATGAAAAGCTATTCTTGTACACGTTAACTTGTTCAATACAACAGTAGTAAATAGAGAAAGTGATCACCAACATTATTCCCTGAAGTCTATCTAATGAATTCTCTTTTAACCTGGTGACCCACACAACTCCACACCATGATTCAGATGATAGGAACATTCACTTTAATACTCTTAACTATAGGTTTGGAGAGCAGTCTGTAATTAAGGGTCAGGTGATTGAGAATCATTGATAAATCCAGTCAACCCCCATCATTCAGAATCTGGTGGTATGGAAGCCATTTACACAAATAACCTTTAACTGCTCTTAATTAATGTGCAAGTGTATAATTTATACTATTTTCCTCTGGACCGGCTTAACTAAAGCACTCATTTCCTGTCCAGTAATGGCATTTGGTGCTAGATTTCGGACATTCGTGAAACATATCCTGATATTGATATTGAATATATTGTTTGGCATTTCATAACCGATCCTATGCAGCATTGAGCAAAAAGAAAAACAAAACAAAACTCAGTTTTTTAGATAAAGTTTTTCATATCCAGCTCTAAGTATATCTATCTGAAATGATTTGTAAAACAAGGTGGGAATAAATAAATGGTTGAATAAATATATATTTTTATTTGGCCTAATACTAGTTGTCTTTCTCTGTCTAACAGAAAAAGTTAAGCTAAAACTTCTTTGCATCCTAGACTTTTATCTACTTGTGACATCACAATTCATACCACGTGAAAGTATTTATAGAAATATACTTTCTTTTAATCACTTTATTCCTTTTCTGATTTTTCTTCTTTATTTCACTTTTTTTGTTGCTTGACAAAAGAATCTCAATGATTAAAAATTTACAATGATTTTTGTGGGCAATTCATAAATTACATTTATGAATTTTGAAATGTGGCATTACATGCCACAGTGAATATTTTTGCAGACAGGCAGCACTATTAGCATACAAAAGGATGATTCTGTATCACTCTCAAGAGAACATAGTCTGTGCAGAGGTGTTTGGGGCTGGCCATTTCATCACAAAATTGAAATGACAAGAAAAATAAATGAGTGGACAAGTACAAGACTTGTATTATTCACTACCATTGTACTGACGTTAAAAAGAATAAAAGGGAAAACTAAAAAGAAACTGAATTTCTATAGTTTGACAAAAAAGGTCAACAATGAATAATAGAAACAATATTAAATAAGAAGGCAATAGCAGTGTTAAGAATCTCCTTTTTTCCCATTTCCTTGCTTGTCTCACTATGGAGAACCATTAGTTCCACAGTTGTTAAAGACAAGATTCCTACTTTTAAAAGAGATGTTTTTGTTTTCAATCAGCTTACAGTTTTACGTTTACCACACCCTGGGAAGGAAAAGTTGCTTCTAGTTCCCACCAGCCTGAAAGAATTAGGACATTATTGTGGCAGGAAAGTTTTTAATACACATTTTGGTAAAACTCTCACATGAGGATGAACTTACTTAGTCAATTAGCAAATGAAGCCATACTGTTTGCTTTCATTTCATGTCATTTCACCAGAAATTCTACTTGTCTTATATTAATTAGCATATTCTATTTTGGTTTTCTAAGTATGGGGACATTACTGGTTATAACCGCTTGTGTTTCTAAGTTAATTTATTAAGTATAGGCATATGAATAAGAAAAATACAATAATAAAATATATGAGGACAAAACTACAGGTCAGTTAAGATTTAAAATAAGTGATTGTGTTAAACAGGTATGTAAAAACATTGTGCATCATATATGAAAATTCATAAACAAAGGCTGTATAATTTCCTTTCCTAAGGTCATTATATTTTTGTGACTTCCCCATCCTCATCAAACACACATTTGCTTATTATCATAATAAAATACTTTTGTCCATGAATGTAAATATTTACATAATCTTATAAAAGAGAAGTTTAAATATAATTGGGACATAATTTATTTCAACTTACATAAATATACCAAGGGCAGCATTCTCTGACTTCATTACAGAAAAAAATAAGAAATTTTATAAAAATGAGTCTCAAAAAGCAAACTATTTCTAATATCTATTATTTGAGATAGTACTATGTCAGTAGCTTTCTGTACCTTTGGGGATCAAATCTGAATGTCATATTTACCTAGTAGCTGTACAGTATATTGAAATAGTATACCAACTTAGGGCAAAAACAAGACCTTTTTTTTTTTGAGACGAAGTCTCACTCTGTCACCCAGGCTGGAGTACAATGGCACCATCTCGGCTCACTGCAACCTCTGCCTTCCGGGTTCAACAGATTATCCTGCCTCAGCCACCTGAGTAGCTGAGATTACAGGCACACGCCACCACACCAGGCTAATTTTTGTATTTTTACTAGAGATGGGGTTTCACCATGTTGGTCAGGATGGTCTTGAACTCCTGACCTCGTGATCCACCTGCCTCAGCCTCCCAAAATGCTGGGATTACAGGTGTTAGCCACCATGCTCAGCCAACAAGACCATTTTGACAAGGGAGCTACACACAAGTCAATGCATTAACTTTTTACCTCACAGGCACCTAAGTTTAAAATGTGCTTTAAATGAAAGATTAAATTATTGTGGTATCTCAATTTCAAACGAGCTGATATTTGTCTACATCTATGAAAACTAACAATTGAAATATCACACATTATGGCTTGTATGAGTTGTGCATTAGAAAGAACAGAGATGATAGTTTACTCACTGGGCACGTGGCTCTTGGGAGAAAAGAAGAGGAGATGTACAGGAGGAGCAATTAACAGGGAAGAAGCTTTAATTAGGATGGAATGTCAAATGACTGATTCAATCACTATAAAAAATCAGGGGTTCAGACCCTTATTGTAGAGTACTCTAAAAACCCTGTCTGCTCTGGTCTGGATGTTTATGTCCACTTAAGATTTATATGTCTAAATCTAATCACCAATGCAATGATATTAAGAGGTAGGACATCTCAGATGTGATTAAGTTATGAGGGTGGAGAGCTCATAAATGGGATTAGTGTTCTTATAAAAGAGGCCCTAGAGATTTGCCTTCACCCTTCCACCATGTGAGGACACAGCTGGAAAGTACCCTCCAGGAACAGACCTTCACTGGATACCAAATGTACTTGATCTTAGGCTTCACACCCTCCAGAACGGTGAGGCATAATTTTCTGTACTTTATAAATTAACTATCCAGTCTATGGTTTTTGCTTTAGCAGCCGAAATGGACTGAGACACTGTCTTATGTATACTTTTTTAGTTGCATTTTTTTTTTCGGGGTACTTCTCTAGTTCCATTAATAATAGAATAAACATTATCTTTGAAAGATTTCTCTTGAAAACTTGAGAGTACTGGTCTGGAGGAGCAGGAGACAAGGTCCCTGCCTTGGTAATGGCAGAAACTATATCATGAGTATCAGCTACCTCACCTGTTAAATGGGCATATAAATATTTTACTTCAATAAGAAGAAATCTGCTGTATAGGTCAGATGAAGTGCTTCGGATTCACTCTGGCAGATTCATCTTCCATGATTCTTGTGATTCAGACCAAGTTAGTATTTGATATAAATGGCAAACTGTAATTTCTTTCAGAAGCAGTTAAGCATATAAAAACTTTCATTCTAAAAATTCAGATTTAAAAAATCTTGAAATCAGAATGATTCATCTGGGTTCCAGATCTTGTATAACAAAATATTTCAGCTATCGTAAGTTTTAAAAATAATTGCTCATATATATAAATAACATTGTTCAATAAACATTTTATATGAATAATATATCAAATGCTAATATTTCCTATAGTATCAGAAAATATTGCACATTGTAATGAATGTGTTTTAATTTGTGCATAATTAGTAAAATAAACCTTAATTTAGGCTTACTTTTTTCTTAAATCAGCTAATGCTTAAAATATCTCCACTTTCCCTGTATTTAGTGTGTGCCAATTCACTTCACAGTCAAAACGGTAGAAGAAATATTGAAAAATAAAACAGAGATGAAAGAAGAACTCCAGATTTAGTATTGACTGGTTTGTAATATAATTTATCAAAATACAACTCTTGGACCTCATTTTCTTCACTCCTCTTGGGCCTAGTAATGGAGAAATATTTTTTTACCTGCTTTTATATTTATTCTTATTGGATTGTATTTTATTTCTTTCCTGCAAAACGTGTTGAAGACTATTTCTTCATACGCACAATAGATTGAACTTACGTGTTTATTTTCTCTCTCTCTCAGCATCAAAAGATAGTAAATTAGAAAAAAAAGATTAATCACCAAGAATAATAGAATGATAGAACATCATAGAACAAATTTTTAAACATTTTGGAAAAATATAAAGCTGACAGCGGAATTGCAGTTGATTCATGAAAGCAAAGGAAGTTACAACCTAAGTGGATAGAGAGGGTTGATGCCTATGAAACAGCACCAGTTTGTCTGGTAGAACACCTAAAGTTCCTAGCACCAGGAGAAATCAAGTAGTCTGCAAGTGTGGTAATGTGGTTTGGCTCTGTGTCCCTGCTCAAATCTTATCTCAAATTGTAATCTTCATGTGTTGGGGGAGGGGCCTGGTGGGAGGTGGTTTGTTCATGGGGGGTGGTTTCTCCCATGCTGTTCTACTAATAGTAAGTGAGTTTTCATGAGATTTGATGGTTTAAAACTGTGTGGCAGTTCTCCCTTGCTCTCTCTCTCTCTGTCCTGCCACCATGTAAGACATGTCTTGCTTTACCTTTGCCTTCCGCCATGATTGTAAGTTTCCAGTCACTTCACCAGCCATGCAGAACTGTGGGTCAATTAAACCTCTTTTCTTTATAAATTACCCAGTCTCAGATAGTATCTTTATAGCAGTGTGAAAATGGACTAATGCAGAAAATTGGTACCAAGGGTGAAGCACTGGTATAAAGATACCTGAAAATGTGGAAGCAACTTTTGAACTGTGTAACAAACAGAGGTGGGAAGAGTTTGGAGGGCTGAGAAGAAGATAGGAAAATTTGGGAAAGTTTGGAACTTCTTAGAGACTTGTTGAATAGTTTTGACCAAAATGCTGATAATGATATGAACAATGAAATCCAGGCTGAGGTGGTCTCAGATGGAGATGAGAAACTCATTGGGAACTGGAACAAAGGTCACTCTCACTATGCTTTAGCAAAGAGACTGGTAGTATTTTGCCCCTGGCCTAGAGATCTGTGGAACTTTGAACTTGAGAGAGATGATTTAGGGTACCTGGCAGAAAAATTTTCTAAGCAGTAAAGCATTCCAGATGTTACCTGGCTGTTTCTGAAAGTATACATTCATATGTATTCACAAAGAGATGGTCTGGAATTGGAACTTATGTTTAAAAGGAAAGCAGAGCATAAAATTTTGGAAAATTTGCAGTCTGACCGTGTGATAGAAAAGGAAAAATGGTTTTCTGGTGAGAAATTCAAGATGGCTGGAGAAATTTGCACGATTAAAGAGGACCTGAATGTTAATGGTCAAGACCATGGGGAAAATGTCTCCAGGGCATGTCAGAGACCTTCACGATAGGCCCTTTCATAGGCCTGGGGGTCTAGGATGGAAAAATGGTTTGTGGGACAGGCCCAAGACTCCGTTGCTCTGTGCAACTTCAGGTTATGGTGCCCTGCTTCAGCTCCAGCTGTGGCTAAAAAGGGCCAATGTACGGTTCAGGCCATTGCTTCAGAGACTGCAAGCCTCAAGTCTTGGCAGCTTCCATGTGATATTGGGCCTGGGAGTGTGCAGAAGGCAAGAGTTTGGGAACCTCTGCCTAGATTTCAGAGGATGTATGGAAATACCTGGATGTCCAGGCAGATGTCTGCTATAGGGGTGGAGCCCTCACAGAGAACCTCTACCAGGGCAGTGCAGACGGCAAATGTGGGGTTGGAGACTCCACACAGAATTTCCACTGGGACACTGCCTAGTGGAGCTGTGATAAGAGGACCACCATCCTCCATATCCCAGAATGGTAGATCCACTGACAGCTTGCACCATGTGTCTGGAAAAGCCATAGGCACTCATGTCAGCCCATGAAAGTAGTTTTGAGGGCTGTACCCTACAGAGCCACAGGGGCAGAGCTGCCTAAGGCCTTGGGAGCCCACCCCTTGCATCAGCATTCCCTGGATTTGAGACATGGAGATGAAGGTGGTTATTTGGAAGCTTTAAGATTTAATGACTGTCCTGCTGAGTTTCAGACTTGCATGGGGCCTGTGGCCCCTTGGTTTGGCCAATTTATCCCTTTTTGAATGGGAGCATTTACCCAATGACTATACCACCAATGTATCTTGGAAGTAACTAACTTGCTTTTGATTTTACAGGCTCATAGGTAGAAGGGACTTGCCTCATCTTAGATGAGAATTTGGACTTGGATTTCTAGGTTAATGCTGGAATGAGTTAAGACTTCTGGGGACTGTTGGGAAGGCATGATTGTGTTTTGAAATGTGAGAATGACATGAGATTTGGACGGGGCCAGGGGCAGAATAATATGGTTTTGCTCTGTATCCCTGCCCAAATCTCATCTTGAATTGTAATCTCCATGTGTCAGAGGAGGGACCTGGTGGGAGGTGATTGGATCATGGGTGTGGTTTTCCTTATGCTGTTCTAATGATAGTGAGTGAGTTCTCATGAGATTTGATGGTTTAAAAGTGCACTGCAATACCCTCCTCACTCTCTTTCTCTCTCTCCTGCTGCCATGTAAGACGTGCCTTACTTCAACTTCGCCTTCTGCCATGATTGTAAGTTTCTTGAAACCTCCCCAGTCATGTGGAACTGTGAGTCAATTAAACCTCTTTTCTTTATAAATTACCCGGTCTCAGGTAGTTCTTTATAGCAGTGTGAAAACAGACTAATATAGCTGGTAAAAGCTTCAGGTTAGAAATAGGCAATCAGGTTCACAGCAGCCTCTGAGAAGTAGGCCTGGGAAGAGGTATCTAAACCGGAATAGGAAGAGAGGCTGGGATGGTAGTCTCTAGGTTGCAAAGAGATATAAATTGATACTTACATGATGTAACTGAACATTGGAAAATTATTGCAAGGAATATCATGTGTTATTGGCATATAAATAGAAAACCAAGTAAATTATGAAAAATGACCCAAGAAAAATAATCATGGGAAAAAGAAAATATGAAAATAGCATGCCACTTGACTCCATATTAGACAATAGTAATCTTTCAAAATTTAAGCAAAAATTATAAAAATTTGGCAACATAGATGGGAAGTAGCAGAAAGAGATGATGAAGGGTAAGACTTTTAAAATCTCAACTATTATAGCTAGTGTCACTGAATCCAGTCTAAAATTAATGAATACATACACACCACACACACAGATCTACTACACAAATGGCAAATGCAGGTGTCGAACTCAGTGGGCATCCTCCCATGACTCCTGTACAGATTTTGTGCTATCTGCTGTCATGATGGACTATCTATGATGCAGGATAATAACCAATATAGATATGGTTACCTATTTTTGTTTGTGGGGTTTACTCTTAGGGGGAAGTTGTTCTCAAAGTAAGACGTACTCTGCAGTAGTCTCATTTTCCTCATTTTATGTCAACACATACTACCTGAAATTTCTATGCTTTTTAAAAATTACTATTTTTTTTTTAGAGATGGGATATCCCTATGTTCTCCAGGCTGGTCTCAAACTCCTGGGCTCAAGTGATCCCTTCAGCCTCCCAAAGTGCTGAGATTACAGGTGTGAGCCACCACACCCAGCTATGCTTATACTGTTTTTTTGAAATGGAGTTTCACTCTTGTTGCCCAGGCTGGAGTGCAGTGGTGTGATCTCGGCTCACTGCAACCTCCCTCTCCTTGGTTCAAGCGATTCTCCTGCCTCAGCCTCCTGAGTAGCTGGGATTACAGGCGTGCACAACCATGCCTGGCTAACATTTTGTATTTTTAGTAGAGATGGGGTTTCACCATGTTGGGCAGGCTGGTCTCGAGCTCCTGACCTCAGGTGATCCTCCCGCCTTGGCCTCCCAAAGTGTTGGGATTACAGGTGTGAGCCACTGCACCCAGCTGCTTATAATTTTTAAAGAGGAAAACTATTACAATGTTTTTCACAGAATAAACTATGATACATATGATGAGGTTTGCTTTGCTCATCTAAACCAAATAAAATTCATATAATCATAAATGGAACTTTCACAAGTCTCCTTAACTCAGTGAAAACTTTCTGTCTGCTCTTGTGGAATTTTGCATATTTACATTATGACATTTATCCTATTGATTATATTCATTAGGTAAGAACAATTTTATTCACTTTTGTATTTTCAGAATCTGTTGCAATGGTTGAATATAACAGGAATTTTTAGATAAAGGTATGATGATTAAAATGAACTACATTTATGTGTTTGTTACAAGAAGATTTTAAAATATTAAAAGTATAATTATAATATAATTTACATATTAAAATAAAAATTTTATGAGTCCATATATAAAGAATTACAGATTCTGATCTTGGTAATGTCCTTTAGGCACCTAAAATGTTTTCTTTGTTTTAAACTGATGTCTTAGTCAAGGATAATGCTTATACTACATAACATACCTGATATTAAGTATCAAAGAATGTGGATACTCTTTAAAGTTAAAATATTACACGAGAATGCAAAATTTGATTCTCCCATTGCCATCAATATTGGGCTAATGGATTTAGATATAGGGGATCAGTTAATAGATATAAGAATGCACACAAAATTTATGAAAAAAATAGAGATTTTAATATTTGGAAAATATGAAATAGGTAATGTAAAACATAATGTGAGATTATTGTTGTTGGAAAGGAAATATGAATGAAAATAATTACCTGTCTAGGTTTATTATAAGTATCAAATACATTCATTATATGGCAAATTTTAAAATGACCATAAATTAGATAATTTCTTATTGCAGCAGTATTGTTGCTTAACTGTAAAACGGCATGTTTTTTATATATATAGAAATATTTCATATTTCTATATATTGAAATATATAGAAATATATATATAGAAATATTTTATGTTCAGAAATATTTTGTTATGTGTTTTATGTTCAGAAATATTTTGTTATGTTTAACATGTCTGATTACTGTTCTGCCTATAGTTATATGTATGTATAGTTACATATGTACACACGTATATACTTGTATATGATATTTATATAGGAGTTATTACTGTGAATAAATAGAGTGAAATCACCTTCCAATATTGCCTCTGAGCAGAAAATTGGGTATTGAGAAACTATAGAAACATGCTACATTGTTGTTTTAAATTACTCATCCTTATAATAGAGCTCAATGATAATTTAACATTTTATAATCAGCTGAAATCTGCTTCATCTTGATTGTTGAAATTTAAGTTAAATGTTTTATTTCTTAAATAGAAAAAATTGCAACTATAGGCTGTCTAATTAGTCATAAGTCAAAAATTTGGATTCACATTTAATATATAGTGCCAGATATACAAAATTCACAACTTTTATCATTCTTTTTGAAATATAGTTGGGACTTACCCTAGAAATGAAGATCAGAATACATTTCTTTAATGTGAATTAAAAGCTTGTGCCACATCACACTAAAAACACCCAAATAGCAAGACGATAAATATTATATACTCTTGGTGAAACATATATATTATTGTCACATGAGTTACCATCTTTGGCCTAAGAGAAATATTAACCCCAGGCTTCAATTGGGAAAATACACATAGGACATCTTGAACAAAGTGACTCATAATGTGTGTTACTTTCTTGCCATCAAATTTTTTTTCTACAGAATTCAATTTTTTCCATGTGAAAGTAAGGAACAGAGATGGACATAAGATAGCAAGATTCACAAGGAAAATAAAACTATTTATAGTGTTCACTATTGTTCGTAGTGGTGATTATTGCTTCTAGTACATTGTAGGTATATAATCAAATATGAATAGATTATAATGCAAATAAACAACTTCATATTTGCAATGGGGTCTATTTCTTACCAGTCTCTTTATGTTGGGTATGTAACAAAAGTTCAACTGGTTGCATCAACTATAAAATGAAGATAATCAGTTTTCTCTCTAAACTTCCAAGAACATAAATTAAACTAGTATTTTAAAACTTATTTGTAAACTATAAAAGAGCATGCATAAAATACAAGCAGCTTTCACTTTGGACAGACAGTGTGGACTGTAAATGTCACTGTGCTACCTGATGTGTTGAAAGTGATTTTTATTAATAGGAAAAAATTAAAAAAAATTATCTTTAAAAATTTGTGTAACAAAATGTGAAAAACATTAAAAAAATTTTTTACTGTTATTTATCAATATATAAGGAAATAAAAATAGTAAAGTCATCATTTTTAGTACACTGTAATTCAAAACATTAGAAACAATGGGAACTAAAATGTTTTATTTCTTTACAAATAACATCAAAAATATATTGAATATTGCTTGCCTTCTCATAAAGCTGACAATACCTATTGAATGGTCATTTTTATATTCATTGGTGAATTGTCATATTTCTTTCTAAGTTTGGATCAGCTTCCAACATTTTATTTTTTATACTTACAATATCATAAAATATTTGAGAGTTCCTTTAATGTGAAGTTGTTTTGTAGCATAGCTTCTGCTGGGACCTTGTCATCCTTTTTGTCACAACCATTTTCTTATTTATGTTGATAAATTTGCCTTCCCTGAGTTCCTCCGGCTGTGTATCTAGAGCATCAAATGTCAAATACCAACATTCTTACATTCAACTGGCTCTTCTGTGATTCCATTTATATTTGATTCAAGTTTCTCTTCTAGCATTATCATTTTTGCCCTTGCTGTACTTTCATCTTTGTTGACCTATTCTTTCTTTTAATTACCCATTTTTGTAAAGTGGCATATTGGTGGGTTTTTCCCTGAGAAACAAGGAGGCAACAGAGAGATGTATGCTTAGCTGAGAATGAACTGAACATAGTGACCAAGCCCTGGAACACTGCAAAAGCAGTGACATACTTGGTCACTGATCATGATGGGTATCTGTTATCACATAGTAGGGATTTGTGATCTGAAGAGCTAGCAACCAAGTTTGTACTTTCTGCAGTTGTTCTCAGTTAATACAATATGGTAACTGAAATGTGAACTGTGCTGTTGATTGGCTAGTGTTATTTAACTAATCTGTGTAATTGAAATTTACGTATATCGGAACCAAGCACGGTGGGGATTGCATTTTTATTATGCCCATACCTCTATGAAGTCATTTTGCTAGTTTTCCATAGAAAAATGTAACTCTTATAGCAAATCAGGCTTATTTATTATTTGTGTGATAGGAAATGGTTTATAACTGAAGGGGTTAACAGTTTTTATTAATATGAGGAATGATTTGCATGGTAAATAGGTTTTGACTATATTTTAGAGAATCAAAACATGATAATTTTCCTTGATAACAGCAAAGTTTATTCTAATCTCTTTTAATCTATCACAATACAAAAAATTGTATTTAGCAAATCAGATTTTGATAGAAAAACATTTCCATTTTAAATAAATGCTGTACCTGTAATTTCACTACTGTCCCAGTAGAGACAATTTTCCCTTGTGAAATTTTTAAAAATAATGATAGGAAGTCACTTAAAATTAGAGCTTCAGTTCTTTATTCAGAAAAAGTGACAAATGATTTTTTTGGTGTTTCGTTCAAATTGTGCTATATACACAGGTTTTAAGGAAGAATCTGAGGTTACACAATGGAATGAGAATGGTATGTTGCTGTTTAATAGAATATTATTTCCTAGTGTTTGGAGGGAACTTGATATAGTCTTCCTTTTAGAGTTACAACATCGTTGAGAAAGAAGAAAGAACTTAATTTGAAAAGCACCTCTAAATTTTCCTTCAGTATACTTTGCATTAAAGAGGACAATGAAAATAAGTACATCTAACTATAGCTGAATTCACTTCCGTTTGCTAGCTATTTGCATTATACGTTATCATACAAACAGTATCTGAATATTTGTACTGACCCAGTAAAATTTTCTTTTGTCTCTTCATTAAGTGAGTTTTTTAATAAACAGAATATTTTGTATACTTTTTGCTTGAATGGTAATCAATTATATCAGAGAGCTAGTTGCAATCAAAACATTACAGAAGAACAAGACTTGAATGATTAATATTTATGTAGCAACCAGATTCTAATCTATCAAACATGTACTAATTTTGACTTTTGTTTCTTCTTGGGAAATTACTGCATGCAAATATGTAGCCATATCCCAGCTTTTTAAAAAAATTCAAAGAATGCAAAAAAAGCAGGCGAGCAACAAGTTATGTACTCTACACCTTATGGTATATTATCATCATTTTTGTGAAAGTTTCTTTCTCTTTTTTCTTATGTTTCATTCCGCTTCATCCTTATTCTTCGCTTCTCTATTGGCAACATTCAAGTACATTTGAAGTATGTCTTTTTACTAATATGCTATTGTTTTGTTTCACATACTTTGGAGCAAAAAATGATATGCAATAGGTGTCTTGATGTGGCTTCATATATATTTCATTCATTGCATCTAATTGTTTTATTACATAGTGGTTCACCAAATTTTACTTATCCATACCTCCATTGATGAGCATCTAATTTGCTTCTCTCTCTCTCTGCTACAGTAATGTTACCAGGAAGAATATTTTCATATATGTCTCTATTGTAGACCTGTGTGACAATTTCTCTAGGATATTATCGCAGGAGCAGAATTTGGATTATGTAGCTGTGGATTCTTAGTTTGATTAAGTGCTACCATCAAAATAGTACTTCAACATGGCCACACAAACCTATACCTCCACTTGTATTTTTTTTTTTTTTTGGTGCTTTTAAGCTTTTCATTTTCGTTTTTTGAAGATTAACGATATCTTTTCTCATTTTACTAATAGAGTTGCTATCTTACTCCTGTGGATTTGTGCATTCTAGATAGGAGAGTTTCTTGTCAGTTTTAAACATTGAAAATTTCTTCTCGCTCGCATCTGGTAATTGTATATTAATTCTATCTATATCATTCTTTGATATCTCAATTCATTTTAATCAAATTCATAACTTTTTGGCCTTAAGGTTTGTTTTGTTTTCTATTTTATAATAGGAAATTTCCAACCCTGTAAAACAACATATCCTGAGTTAAGCATTTGTATTATTTTGCAAGTGCTGGGTAGCATTTGTTCTATTTATATTTTTGTAACAACTTGTATAAAACTATAATTAAATTTCTCCTTGAACATTTATATAAGCACACACTTAAGCAACCCAAAGCTGTTTTAGTATTATGAAATCTACCAGGATATATGATCTCAAAATTGATTTTATAAAAACACATGATAAAATTCATTATAGTACTTCTTTAAAACACTAGGAATAAAAGGCTATTCTGTATCAACGTCATGTTTACTGGCATAAGACTAAGAGGATGTGGTGCCTAGTCTCCAAAGATGGCTCCCAACAATCCCTTCCCTTCTTGCTTGCACAAGTCATACCCCACATGGAGGTAAAGCTTAATTGCCCGTGCCTTGAAGCTCATCTGCTTTTGTGCTCATTTGGCTTTGAATGCAGTCAGTGAGGAGAGTAAAATCAGTGACAACTCATCTCTTAGCTGGTGACCAGTAGCACCTGTCAACCATGGGAATGAGGCCATAATGGAGCTTCCAGCCATCCAGAACGTTAGTGAACTTTATGTGAGTTAAAAAGATTGTCCAGTTACTTCCTTGAATTGTGAACATTTATAGGCTGTAGTTTCAAGCCAACATATTTTGGAATAATTTGCTATGCAACAACAGGTAACCAGAACAAGGGTTAAAAACAAAACCTAAACAAATATGTTTAATAGCACAATTTTTACTTGAAATTTTAGTCACCTCAATGAAGATAAAACATATAAGAAATAAAATATTAAGAGGGAGAAAAATTGTCAGTATTTGGAGATGATGTTTTTTACACGTCTAATAAATATAGGATAATAAAATCTAAAATGAAAATCTATATAACATTATTCATTTTATCTTCAAGAAATAAAAAGCATTAAATATGGTAATTATAAAAGACTATTTTTCTTCACAATTTTATTAAATATAACAGTGTCTTGTGGGCTTTATAATCAATTTATGGGTAATATGTATGAAAAATAGAGCAATATGCTGATAACATGTAATAGATGAAACTCCAAAATATTACAGTGAAAAAAGTCATATGCAAAAGAATATCTACTGTACAACTTCACTTACATTAGGATCCAGAACAAGAAAAACTAATCTGTGATGAAAAAAATCAGAATAGTTGTTGCCTCAGGTGGTTGTGGGAACTGACCAGGAAGGGGCACAAGGAATATTTTGGGAGTAATGGCAATGCCCTATATCTCGGGAGAGATTTTGGTTACACAAGTATATACATTTGTCAAGGGCACGTGATTAAGATTTGGGTGTTTTGCATGTTCTTATTTATAATTGGGAGTTGAACAATGAGAACACATGGAGAACACATGGACACTGGGAGGGGAACATTACACACCTGTGCCTGTCGGGGATTAGGGGCTGGGGGAGGGATAGCATAGCAGAAATAATTAATGTAAATGACGAGTTGATGGGTGCAGCAAACCAACATGGCACATATATACCCATGTAACAAACTTGCACATTGTGCACACGTACCCCAGAACTTAAAGTATAATAATAATAAAAAAAGATTTGGGTGTTTTATTGTACATTTTATATGAAAATATTCTAAATATTAAACTGATTAATGATATACATGCTGAGGCATTTATTGGAAAGTGAACAGAAGTCTGCAATTTATTTGAAATGCATAAAAATATGAGGAATTAATAGATGGATAGAGGCATGGACATAGCATATGCAGTACAACGGGAGAATCTAGGAGGTGGCTATACGGTGTTCAGGATAATGTTATTTCTATTTTGTGGTACATTGAAAATTTTTCATAATATATCGTTGGGGAAAATACAGGATGAAGGACAATCTTATACATTGATGGTGAGAATATAAACCTATACAACTTTTCTCTAAAATATGTATATAATATTCATACCTTGATATAATAACTAAAAATCAAGAAATAATACAGGCTGGGCCCAGTGGCTCACACCTGTAATCCCAGCACTTTGGGAGGTCAAGGCAGATGGATCACATGAGGTCATGAGTTCGAGACCAGCCTGGCCAACATGGTGAAACCCCTTCTTTACTAAAAATACAAAAATTAGCCAGGTGTGGTGCTGTGTAATCCCAGCTATTTGGGAGGCTGAGGAACTAGAATCACTTCACCCCAGGAGGCTTAGGTCGCAGTGAGCTGAGATCACACCACTATATTCCAGCCTCGGCGATAGAGCAAGTCTCTCTCTCTCTCTCTCTCTCTCTCTCTCTCTCTCTCTATATATATATATATATACACATATATATATATATGTATATATATATATACACATATATATATGTATATATATATACACATATATATATACACATATATATATACACATATATATATACACATATATATATACACATATATATATATACGTATATATGTATATATATATACACGTATATATATATATATACACACACACATATATATATATATAAAATAATCCAATAGGAAGTGATAAAAAACAGTAAACAAAACTTCGGTTCATAAAGATGCATTAAAAAATAAATGCCTAGTTTTAAGAATAGTTAAGTAGTTTTTGGATAAACTTTTAATTTTAGAATTGTTCTTTGGCAGGCTGAGGCAGGCAGATCACTTGAGGTCAAGAGTTCGAGAGCAGCCTGGCCAACATGGTGAAACCCTGTCTCTACTAAGAATACAAAAATTAGCAGGGCGTGGTGGTGCACGCATGTAATACCAGCTACTCAGGAGGCTGAGGCAGGAGAATTACTTGAAATTGGGAGGCGGAGATTGCAGTGAGCCAAGATCGTGCCACTGTACTCCAGCCTGGGTGACAGAGTGAGATGCTGTCTCAAAAAAAAAAAAAAAAAAAAAAATTGTTTTAGATATACAGAAATGTTGCAATGACAGTAGAATTCCAATTTATCCTGTGGTAAGTTTCCCTTATTGTTAATATCTTACATTATTATGGTACATTTGTCATAATGAATAAACCAATAAGCTTAAATATATACTTTATTTAGATTTTCTTAATTTTTACCTAATTTGTGGGTTAAATATTATGCAGCCATTAAGCTGATTTTAAAGTTTTTAACAACATAATAAAATGTAATTCAATTTAAGGAAGCAACATAATTCTTCCTGTATTTCTTTTCCATTGAATTAAATATTTGGTGTTCAAATATATATATTTATTGTTTGAATGGGATGAAAATATAAAGTTCTATTTAAATCACATTTAGTCAGGAATGGCTTTTTAACTGATATTGAGCTATAGACTTTGAAACAGATATCTCAACAAAATATCAACAACCTATTTCCAGAAGAAAATATTTAATGTAAAATAACTGTTGTATATGTTTTCTCAACCCAGTGATACTAGTACATAATATTGTAATGGACTTCATCTGGTACAAAAACCCATACAATGTTTTACAACATTGGAAAACAGAATGCAAGCTGACACATAAGGACGCCCATCAAAATGTAGGAGGAAACTGGAAACAGATACTGTGTTGGGGAGTAGTGGCTGTTCTAATGTTATATGGTGTGATTTGAAGAGGTTACCTAAAATGGGATGTGTAGCTCTTTTGCTCCAGGATCATGACTGCTATACTCGTGATTTATTTAAACATATGGCATTCTACAATGCTCTCCCTCCATAAAAATCATCTTTAGGCAGCTGGGTGATGTTAACTAGGAACTAATCATAAACATCTGGTTAGTTTACATACAAATTTTCTTTTTTTCCATATTTTCCTTAAATGAAGTATCTGTTCACCTTCATACAAATTATTCTAGTTTAAAAAATTGTCTCATAAAAAAGAAAGGAAAATGTTTATTTTCAATGCTTTTGGTACCAATATTTTTTGTTTATTTCTTGGACTAACAATTTAACAAAACTTGATCTGCTTAAAATATATAGTCTCTTATATCATGATCTCTGCCATTTTCTCTTTAATTTAGCAATACTTTTTTTACTTATAAATAATGGCTCATGACAAAGTATTGTATTAGAAAAGCAATAAAAAGTTTTTCTTATATAAACTTATTTTTTCAGAAAAAATATATATATAACATTTAGGTTATATATATGTTATATATAACATTTAATATATAACATTTAGGTATTCAATTATAAATGTTAGTGAAGACTCCTCACCTAATCATTTATTAGCTATATTCTCCCCTCTTCTCTTTCCCCCCTGCATTTTTCCCCCTCTCCCACTTTTTTGAATTAATCTATAGATTCTTGCTAAGCACTATATCCTTTACGTTATGCTTGTAGTACTAAGCTTCTTTATAGAATTTACAAAAATCTAATTGAATTATTCATCTTTTTTGTCTGTCTTCACCACACTTTTGTACAGGGAAACTACTACCATGAAAAGCTGGAATTGTATGAACATCAAAAATATTTTATCTTTTAAATTCTTAAATTCTGATTTAATCCATATTGTTGAACACAAATTCCAAAACGAAAAGTACATACCAGAGGGATAAGTTAGCTGTTAGCTTAAGCTTCAGGATCTTCATGATCCACAAATGTTGACATTATCCTTTAGAAAAAATTTTAACATGATCTCCCATGTGATATTTTCACTCACTTCCATTCTCTCCTCTGTGTTTTTCAATTAATTTTAAATATTTTGCACCAGACCTATTTCCATCAGAAAACTACCTAAACTTCTGCTTAGTTTGTTTCTCCACATATGTCAAAAGCCTAGATGAATGTTTGTGGTTTTTGTTTTGCTTTTGTGTGTACTCTGTGTTTTAAATCTCTAGCTAGATTTTAAATAAATTGAGGGCATAGGCTGTTTTCTGCTGATAAAATACTCTGCAGAAAGTAGCTATTTCATAAAAACATGGGCCAGGGTTACAATGTTCTCCATATAGAGACATAAAGGTCTTGTTTTTTTCTATCGAATTCTCTAGTTAAACTAATATTTTTTGTTATATTTTATTTACAGAATTGGATAACTGAGCTTAATATTTTCACAAAGCATGACAATAAGAGCCCTTTAAAGTTATATGTTGAATTTTATTTTAAAGAATTGCAAATTATTTCAGAAATGTAATATATGCCACAGGTATTCTAAGATAATTTGCAACTATATTTCCTGCAGTATTTAGAAAAATAAAAGGTGGAAAACTTGATTAAGAATAATGCATAAAGAGAATTTTTAAAAAACTTAAAATGTAAATTCCAAATATCTATATGGTAGTTGAATATGAATTTCCATTCTTTTTCTGTTACCACTGTGGTTTCTTTATACTGACAATATAGTGTTTGATCTCTAGAGTCTCTTACCAACCTGAAAGTTTTGTTAGAATATTTCTATGCATTTTCATTAGACTTATTTCTCAATAAATTTCCTAAGGCTGTGGTTTATAGATTAATGCCTAATAATAGACAAATTTAAAAACTACGTTGACAAGTGCCATGCATCCTTCAAGATTATACAGAACAGCTGCCTAGGAACACTTTGGCAACCTTAAATTCAACAGACCTTGATATTTTCTTCTTAAGCCTGAGAAAGACTGCTTCAGTTCTAAATTCATCTAAGAGAATTTGGAGGACCTCTGAATACATGTTTCCAAAAGGGAATCCATAAGAACTATGAAAATATGGGGTGAATTTGTCTTGCACTATTTTCCCAAGGTAACACTTTATATTGATGGTGGCTAAGTATTTAGACGGAAGCTAAGGTTTAGATATGTGTATATTGCTGATGTTATACATAAAGAGAAAAACAGCCAATTAGGATTCAAACTAAGGTTGTACTACAAATAAAAAAATTGAGTTCAAGATAGGCAGAACCTTGGAGTAGGGATGGGGGAGGAAGGTGGGTATTTGATACAGGTCTTGCTGCATTTTAGATATTGGCAGTGCAGGCTGGTGGATATGCCTAGCAAACAACTATAAATGTGATTGATTCTTCTTTTCATTTTTTTTTATTATACTTTAAGTTCTAGGGTACATGTGCACAATGTGCAGGTTTGTTACATATGTATACATATGCTATGTTGGTGTGCTGTACCCATTAACTCGCCATTTTCATTAGGTATATCTCCTAATGCTATCCCTCCCCCTTCCCCCTACCCCACAACAGGCCCCAGTGTGTGATGTTCCCCTTCCTGTGTCCAAGTGTTCTCCTTGTTCAATTCCCACCTATGAGTGAGAGCATGCGGTGTTTGGTTTTTTGTCCTTGCGATAGTTTGCTGAGAATGATGGTTTCCAGCTTCATCCATGTCCCTACAAAGGACATGAACTCATCCTTTTTTATGGCTGCATAGTGTTCCATGGTGTATATGTGCCACATTTTCTTAATCCAGTCTATCATTGATGGACATTTGAGTTGGTTCCAAGTCTTTGCTATTGTGAATAGTGCCACAATAAACATACGTGTGCATGTGTCTTCATAGCAGCATGATTTATAATCCTTTGGGTATATACCCAGTAATGGGATGGCTGGGTCAAACGGTATTTCTAGTTCTAGATCCTTGAGGAATTGCCACACTGTCTCCCACAATAGTTGAACTAGTTTACAGTCCCACCAACACTGTAAAAGTGTGCCTATTTCTCCACATCTTCTCCAGCACCTGTTGTTTCCTGACTTTTTAATGATCGTCATTCTAACTGGTGTGAGATGGTATCTTACTGTGGTTTTGATTTGCATTTCTCTGATGGCCAGTGATGATGAGCATTTTCTCATGTGTCATTTGGCTGCATAAATGTCTTCCTTTGAGAAGTGTCTGTTCATATCCTTTGGCCAATTTTGATGGTGTTGTTTTTTTCTTGTAAGTTTGTTTGAGTTCTTTGTAGATTCTGGATATTAGCCCTTTGTCAGATGAGTAGATTGCAAAAATTTTCTCCCATTCTGTAGGTTGCCTGTTCACTCTGATGGTAGTTTCTTTTTCTGTGCCGAAGCTCTTTAGTTTAATTAGATCCCATTTGTCAATTTTGGCTTTCGTTGCCATTGGTTTTGGTGTTTTAGACATGAAGTCCTTGCCCATGCCTATGTCCTGAATGGTAATGCCCAGTTTTTCTTCTAGGGTTTTTATGATTTTAGGACTAACATTTAAGTCTTCAATCCATCTTGAATTAATTTTTGTATAAGGTGTAAGGAAGGGATCCAGTTTCAGCTTTCTCCACATGGCTAGCCAGTTTTCCCAGCACCATTTATTAAATAGGGACTCCTTTCCCCATTTCTTGTTTTTGTCAGGTTTGTCAAAGATCAGATGGTTGTAGATGTGTGGTATTATTTCTGAGCTTTCTGTCCTGTTCCATTGGTCTATATCTCTGTTTTGGTACCAGTACCACGGTATTTTGGTTACTGTAGCCTTGTAGTATAGTTTGAAGTCAGGTAGCGTGATGCCTCCAGCTTTGTTCTTTTGGCTTAGGATTGTCTTGGCGATGCGGGCTCTTTTTTGGTTCCATATGGACTTTAAAGTAGTTTTTTCCAATTCTGTGAAGAAAGTCATTGGTAGCTTGATGGGGATGGCATTGAATCTAGAAATTAGCTTGGGCAGTATGGCCATTTTCATGATATTGATTCTTCCTATCCATGAGCATGTAATGTTCTTCCATTTGTTTGTGTTCTCCTTTATTTTGTTGAACAGTGGTTTGTAGTTCTCCTTGAAGAGGTCCTTCACATCCCTTGTAAGTTGGATTCCTAGGTATTTTATTCTCTTTGAATTTATTCTCTTTGAAGCAGTTGTGAATGGGAGTTCACTCATGATTTGGCTGTTTGTCTGTTATTGGTGTATAAGAATGCTTGTGATTTTTGTACATTGATTTTGTATCCTGAGATTTTGCTGAAGTTGCTTATCAGCTTAAGGAGATTTTGGGCTGAAACAATGGGGTTTTCTAAATATACAATCATGTCATCTGCAAACAGGGACAATTTGACTTCCTCTTTTCCTAATTGGATACACTTTATTTCCTTCTCCTGCCTAATTGCCCTGGCCAGAACTTCCAACACTATGTTGAATAGGAGTGGTGAGAGAGGGCATCCCTTTCTTGTGCCAGTTTTCAAAGGGATTGTTTCCAGTTTTTGCCTATTCAGCGTGATATTGGCTGTGGGTTTGTCATAGATAGCTCTTATTATTTTGAGATACATCCCATCAATACCTAATTTATTGAGAGTTTTTAGCATGAAGGTCTGAATTTTGTCAAAGGCCTTTTCTGCATCTCTTGAGATAATCATGTGGTTTTTGTCTTTGGTTCTGTTTATATGCTGGATTATGTTTATTGATTTGTGTATGTTGAACCAGCCTTGCATCCCAGGGATGAAGCCCACTTGATCATGGCGGATATTTTATTGAGGATTTTTGCATCGATGTTCATTAGGGATATTGGTCTAAAATTCTCTTTTTTTGTTGTGTCTTTGCCAGGCTTTGGTATCAGGGTGATGCTGGCCTCATAAAATGAGTTAGGGAGGATTCCCTCTTTTTCTATTGATTGGAATAGTTTCAGAAGGAATTGTACCAGCTCCTCCATGTACCTCTGGTAGAATTCAGCTGTGAATCCGTCTGGTCCTGGACTTTTTTTGGTTGGTAAGCTATTAATTATTGCCTCAATTTCAGAGCCTGTTATTGGTCTATTCAGAGATTCAACTTCTTCCTGGTTTAGCCTTGGGAGGGCATATGTGTCGAGGAATTTATCCATTTCTTCTAGATGTTCTAGTATATTTGCATGGAGGTGTTTATAGTATTCTCTGATGGTAGTTTGTATTTCTGTGGGATCGGTGGTGATATCCCCTTTATCATTTTTTATTGTGTCTATTTGATTCTTCTCTCTTTTCTTCTTTATTAGTCTTGCTAGCGGTCTATCAATTTTGTTGATCTTTTCCAAAAACCAGCTCCTGGATTCATTGTTTTTTTGAAGGGATTTTTGTGTCTCGATTTCCTTCAGTTCTGCTCTGATCTTAGTTATTTCTTGCCTTCTGCTAGCTTTTGAATGTGTTTGCTCTTGCTTCTTTAGTTCTTTTAATTGTGATGTTAGGGTGTCAATTTTAGATCTTTCCTGCTTTCTGTTGTGGGCATTTAGTGCTATAAATTTCCCTCTACACACTGCTTTAAATGTGTCCCAGAGATTCCGGTATGTTGTGTCTTTGCTCTCATTGGTTTCAAAGAACATCTTTATTTCTGCCTTCATTTCGTTATGTACCCAGTAGTCATTCAGGAGCAGGTTGTTCAGTTTCCATGGAGTTGAGCAGTTTTGAGTGAGTTTCTTAATCCTGAGTTCTAGTTTGATTGTACTGTGGTCTGAGAGACAGTTTTTTATGACTTCTGTTCTTTTATATTTGCTGAGGAATGCTTTACTTCCAACTATGTGGTCAATTTTGGAATAAGTGTGATGTGGTGCTGAGAAGAGTGTATATTCTGTTGATTTGGGGTGGAGAGTTCTGTAGATGTCTGTTAGGTCCACTTGGTGCAGAGCTGAGCTCAATTCCTGGATATCCTTGTTAACTTTCTGTCTCATTGATCTGTCTTATGTTGACAGTGGGGTGTTAAAGTCTCCCATTATTATTTTCTGGGAGCTAAGTCTCTTTGTAGGTCACTCAGGACTTGCTTTATGAATCTGGGTGCTCCTGTATTGGGTGCATATATATGTAGGATAGTTAGCTCTTCTTATTGAATTGATTCAATATGTAATGGCCTTCTTTGTCTCTTTTGATCTTTGTTGGTTTAACGTCTGTTTTATCAGAGACTAGGATTGCAACCCCTGCCTTTTTTTGTTTTCCATTTGCTTGGTAGATCTTCCTCCATCCCTTTATTTTGTGCCTATGTGTGTCTTTGCACATGAGATGGGTCTCCTGCATACAGCACACTGATGGGTCTTGACTCTTTATCCAATTTGCCAGTCTGTGTCTTTTAATTGGAGCATTTAGCCCATTTACATTTAAGGTTAATATTGTTATGTGTGAATTTGATCCTGTCATTATGATGTTAGCTGGTTATTTTGCTCATTAGTTGATGCAGTTTCTTCCTAGCATCGATGGTCTTTACAATTTGTCATGTTTTTGCAGTGGCTGGTACCAGTTGTTCCTTTCCATGTTTAGTGCTTCCTTCAGGAGCTCTTTTAGGGCAGGCCTGGTGGTGACAAAATCTCTCAGCATTTGCTTGTCTGTAAAGGATTTTATTTGTCCTTCACTTATGAAGCTTAGTTTGGCTGGATATGAAATTCTGGGTTGAAAATTCTTTTCTTTAGGAATGTTGAATGTTGGACCACACTCTCTTCTGGCTTGTAGAGTTTCTGCTGAGAGATCCGCTGTTAGTCTGATGGGCTTCCCTTTGTGGGTAACCCGACCTTTCTCTGTGGCTGCCCTTAACATTTTTTCCTTCATTTCAACTTTGGTGAATCTGACAATTATGTGTCTTGGAGTTGCTCTTCTCGAGGAGTATGTTTGTGGCGTTCTCTGTATTTCCTGAATTTGAATGTTGGCCTGCCTTGCTAGGTTGGGGAAGTTTTCCTGGATAATATCCTGCAGAGTGTTTTCCAGCTTGGTTCCATTCTCCCCATCCCTTTCAGGTAAACCAGTCAGATGTAGATTTGGTCTTTTCACATAGTTCCATATTTATTGGAGGCTTTGTTTGTTTCTTTTTAGTCTTTTTTCTCTAAACTTCTCTTCTCGTTTCATTTCATTCATTTGATCTTCAATCAATGATACCATTTCTTCCAGTTGATCGAATTGGCTACTGAAGCTTGTGCATTTGTCACGTAGTTCTCGTGCCATGGTTTTCAGCTCCGTCAGGTCATTTAAGGACTTCTCTACACTGGTTATTCTAGTTAGCCATTCGTCTAATCTTTTTTCAAGGTTTTTAGCTTCTTTGCGATGGGTTTGAACTTCCTCCTTTAGCTCGGAGTAGTTTGATTATCTGAAGCCTTCTTCTCTCAACTTGTCAAAGTCATTCTCCATCCA
Organism: Homo sapiens; assembly: GCF_000001405.40. Lineage (NCBI taxonomy): Eukaryota > Metazoa > Chordata > Mammalia > Primates > Hominidae > Homo > Homo sapiens. The sequence continues at coordinate 111,566,265 of NC_000004.12, read as the reverse complement.
GCTTTGTTCCATTGCTGGTGAGGAGCTGCGTTCCTTTGGAGGGGGAGAGGCACTCTGATTTTTATAATTTTCAGCTTTTCTGCTCTGTTTTTTCCCCATCTTTGTGGTTTTATCTACCTTTGGTCTTTGATGATGGTGATGTACAGATGGGGTTTTGGTGTCGATTTCCTTTCTCTTTGTTAGTTTTCCTTCTAATAGTCAGGACCCTCAGCTGCAGGTCTGTTGGAATTTGCTGGAGGTCCACTCCAGACCCTGTTTGCCTGGGTATCAGCAGCAGAGGCTGCAGAACAGTGAATATTGCTGAACAGCAAATGTTGCTGCCTGATTGTTCCTCTGGAAGCTTCATCTCAGAGGGGTACCTGGCTGTGTGAGGTGTCAGTCTGCCCCTAGTGGGTGGTACCTCCCAGTTAGGCTACTCAGGGGTCAGGGACCCACTTCAGGAGGCAGTCTGTCCATTCTCAGATCTCAAACTCCATGCTGGGAGAACCACTACTCTCTTCAAAGCTGTCAGACAGGGATATTTAAGTCTGCAGAAGTTTCTGCTGCCTTTTGTTCGGCTATGCCCTGCCCCCAGAGGTGGAGTCTACAGAGGCAGGCAGGCCTCCTTGAGCTGCGGTGGGCTCCACCCAGTTCAAGCTTCCTGGCCACTTTGTTTACCTATTCAAGCCTCAGCAATGGTGTAGAGCCCTCCCCCAGCCTTGCTGCTACCTTGCAGTTTGATCTCAGACTGCTGTGCTAGCAATGAGCTAGGCTCCATGGGCATGGGACCCTTCTAGCCAGACACAGGATATAATCTCCTGGTGTGCTGTTTGCTAAGACCATTGGAAAAGCACAGTATTAGGGTGGGAGTGACCCGATTTTCCAGTTACCATCTGTCACAGCTTCCCTTGGCTAGAAAAGGGAATTCCCTGACCCCTTGTGCTTCTGGAGTGAGGTGATGCCTCGCCCTGCTTCGGCTCACGCTTGGTGGGCTGCACCCACTGTCCTGCACCCACTGTGTGACAAGCCCCAGTGAGATGAACCTGGTACCTCAGTTGGAAATGCAGAAATCACCCGTCTTCTGTGTCGCTCACGCTGGGAGCTGTAGACTGGAGCTGTTCCTATTCGGCCATCTTGGAACCACCCCATGACTGATTCTGAATTTGAGAAAGTCTAAATATAATGTGAGTTTTTAGAGAATTGATAAAGAGATAAGAAAATGTGTCTAAGCACAAAGTGAGTTCAGAAGAAAGAAGACAAATTTTGAAAAAGAGATAAAGGAAAGCCAGCCAAATAAGTATCAAAATGATGATAAAAACAAAGAGAAATGAAATTTTAAAAGAGGAAATAGGTTTTAAAATGTCTCATGGAGCTATAAAAAAATGAGATCCTGGCCGTTGCAGCAACATGGATGGAGCTGGAGGCCATGAGCTAAGTGAATTCATGCAGAAACAGAAAAGCAAATACTGCATAGTCTCACTTATAAGTGGGAGCTAAACATGGAGAACACATGGACATAAGGAAGGGAACAATAGTCACTGTGGCCTATTTGAGGGTGGAGGGTGGATGAAGGGCAAGGACTGAAAAACTACCTATTGGGTACAATGCTGATTACCTTGGTGACAAAATTATCTGTACACCAAACTCTTGTGACATAAAATTTACCTATGTAACAAACCTGCGCATGTACCCTTGAACCTAAAAGTTTGAAAGAAAAAAATAGTAAAGGCTTAAAAATCCTGCATGGAAATAAAGTTAAAACAGGAATAAAACTGAAACAGACCTACAATTTGTCAAGTAAGTTTAAAAAAATAATTTATTAAACTAAAAACCTCAGGGCTACAAAGCTGTTTATGTAAAATCAGTTTTAAGTATTAGGGTGTAGTAGGGAACAGACACTTCTAAACATTGGATCACCACTCAGGCCTCTTTTTAGAAATTCATTAAAAATTTCCCAAATTCAGAAATATGTCACCTCTGCCTCTTTTATAATTCACATGAATTCCAATTATTGTGGAGGTAGATTTGGAGGGCTGCCTACTGAAAACTGATTTATATAATCATTCAGTGATTTTGAACTGATTTCTGTCTCTGACTTAACTGAGTTGAACAGATTTCAATTTTTAATTCAATTCAATTTTCATTTCATTTCAATTTTCAATGTTTAATATTGAATAAGTAATTGCTAGAACTGAATCTTGCCTTCAAGGAACTTTTAAAGAGCTTGAAATCTAACTGGGGAGTCAGATACATCAAGAGACAATTTCCATATGATAAATAAGTCCATGATTGATAGATGAATGGGATGTATGGGATACTGTGGGAGTGCCTAGGCTGTGCATTCAGCTCAGCCTGAGATTTCTTAAAGAAAGTGATGTCTAATTTAATCATAGAAGATGTGTAAGAGTTTGCCAGATAACGAAAGGTGAAGGGATGTTCCTAATCCATGGGACAGAATGAGTCTAGTCTCAAACATGTGGAACAGTGTATATTGTGAGGAGAGCTAAGAGTTAAAGTCCAACACTTTCTTGTCAGATAATAATAACCAAAAGCTTAATTGACTCAGAGCTTTTTGTCAAGGAACACATTTGGTTTGCATTTTTTTAACCAATAAATCCTAGTTTTGGGAATTGGGTATGCATTTCTACAAAGCAAATTGCTTTTTAAGAAGGATATCAAGGTCTCTTGCTTTTAAAAAGGTATCACATTCTTCATAACTTCTGGATATGATTTAAAATTATATTTCAAGTATAATATTTACAAACTTCTCTTAGAAGAAATAAAGATTATAAACTGTATGTAATGGTTGTGTACAGGCAGAGAAATATAAGCCAATTAAAACTCAGTAGAGAAAAAAGATTTTTCAATGTGGCATGAGACTGGCATCAGCCACCCAAATTTGTTTAACCAGAACATAATTTCTTCATGTGTACCACTTGATTATAAATGTTAGTAATATAAACTTTCTTAAGAAAGTTTTACATTTTCTGATTGCAAATTATTGGAAAGAAGAAAATGATGAGAATCTGTATTTGGTAATGTGATGATTATATATATTTTTCATGATTCCTGTCCTCTTTGTATACAAGCATTAAATATTTTAGCAGTAGAGGAAAGCACGAGTATTGACCTATTTGCATTTTTGAGGGTAAATAAATTAATTTACTCATCTATATGATTCACTCAACAAATAGTTATAGAATTTTGTGCTCAATAGAGATGCAGAGAAAGAAGAGAGATGTTTTTCATTTTCCTGGTGAGTCAATGCCCGGTAATTACCCAAACCTTTCTATTTCCTCCTGGAGGACCTCAGGGTTGGTGTGCATCATAGTTTATTAGGGAAAGAATAGGTCTTCAACATACTTCTCTAGGACTAAGGGACCTCCAGAAACATCAGTGACTACAATCAAACTATTAAGTCAGGTAGGGTTGTGCTAGAGGTTTTCTCCATTTCACAAAGCTCATAAATCCCAATCAGGTAGCAAGGAACCCCTTCCCAGACTAAAACCAAAAGAATACTCTAAAGCAACATTGGCAAACTTTTTATGTAAAGGGTCAGGCAATATTATTGGTTTTGTGATCATAAGGTCTCTATAGAAATTATTTGACTCTGCTGTTTAGCACAAACACAGCTATAGATAGTATGTAAACAAATGAGTATGACTACATTCTAATAAAAATTATTTATGTATGAACACTGTGAATCACGTGAGGTTTTTCAAATTAAAATCTAAAACAATTCAGGTTTATAATAAAATAATATAAATTAAATTACTTACATTTTATAATTTATTTTACATTTACTTATCTTATAATAATTAAATTCATTATTAGATATAATAAAAGCTGAGTTTCTCAGCCCCACTAACCATATTTACATGCTCAATGGCAACACATGACTCATGGCTACCATATTGGAGAGTGTGTAGAATATTGGTATCATTGCAGAAAGTACTATTGGATAACACTGCTCTAGAATTTCCTTGTGGCACCTGACTATTCTATTCTAGACATAGTAAGATGAGGAAAGCGTGGTTAAGTGTGATCTCTCTGAATCTCTGAAGAGAAATAATGCAAAAAATGTGGCTAGGAAGTTCTAAGAAAATATATAAGGCCTGTTCTTTATTTCTATTATGTTCTGGTTAAACAAATTTGGGTGGCTGATGCCACTCTGATGCTACATTGAAAAATCTTTTTCCTCTAATGAGTTTTAATTGGCTTATCTTCCTCTGCCCATACACGACCATTACATACAGTTTATTATCTTTATTTCTTCTAAAAGAAGAAATGAAGAAGGTAAGACCAGTTACCTTCATCACATTTTTAATTAAAAAATTAAATTTTAAATTAAATTTATAATTTATAGTTGACAAATAGTGATTGTACATATTTATGGTGTACAATGTGATGTTTAAATGTTTGTATATATTTAAATATCCACATGCCTGCTGAAAACTGATTTACATTATCAATAATATAAATCATATTGATCAAATGAGGATAAGTAACATACCTATCACTTTACATATTTATCATTTATTTATAGTGGCAACAATAAATATCTTCTAGCTATCTTGAAATATATAGTACATTGATATTTGCTATATGATGTGTAGTATTCACTATATATATTTAATAGAACTCCAAAACTTTTCTTCCTATCTAACTGTAACTTTATATCCATTGACCAACCTCTCCTAATTCCTGCCTCTAACCTCCCCTCCTCAGCATGTGGTAACCACTATTCTACTCTCTACTTTTATAAAGTCAACTTTTTTTAGAGTCTATATATGAGCGAGATCATATATTCTTTGTCTTTCTGTATTTGGCTTAATTTACTTCATATAAAGTCTTCCAGATTTATTCTTGTTGCCACAGAAAATATTATTTCATTGTTTTATGGCTGAAAAGTATTCCATTGTATATTATAGATACCACAGTTTCTTTATTCATTAATCTGTAGAAGTGCATTTAGTTTGATTCCATATCTTGACTATGGTGAATAGCTCTGCAATAAACGTGGGTGTGCAGATACCTGTTCGACATACTGACTTCATTTTCTTTGGATATATGCCAAAGAAAGAAATTGCTGGATTATACAGTACTTCAATTTTTAATTTTTAAATTATACTTTAAGTTTTGGGATACATGTGTGGAATGTGCAGGTTTGTTACATAGGTATACACATGCCATGGTGGTTTGCTGCACCGATCAACTTATCATCTACATTAGGTGTTTCTCCTGATGCTCTCCCTCCCATAGCCCCCCAACCCCTGACAGGCCCCAGTATATGATGTTCCCCTTCCTGTGTCCATGTGTTCTCATTGTTCAGCTCCCACTTATAAGTGAGAACATATGGTGTTTGGTTTTCTGTTCCTGTATTAGTTTGCTGGGAATGATGGTTTCTAGCTTCATCTGTGTCCCTGCAAATGACATGAACTCATCCTTTTTTAATGGCTGTGTTGTATTCCATGTTGTATATGTGACACATTTTCTTTAACCACTCTATCATTGATGGGCATTTGGCTTAGATCCAAGTTTTTGCTATTGTGAACAGTGCTGCAATAAACATATGTGTGCCTGTGTCTTTATAGTAGAACGATTTATAATCTTTTGGGTATATACCCAGTAATGGGATTGCTGGGTCAAATGGTATTTCTGGTTCTAGATCCTTGAGGAATCAATCGCCACACTGTCTTCCACAATGGTTGAGCTAATTTACACCTCCCACCAACAGTGTAAAAGCATTCCTATTTCTCCACATCCTCGCCAGCATCTGTTGTTTCCTGACTTTTTAATGATTGTACTTCTAACTGGCATGAGATGGTGTGTCATTGTGGTTTCGATTTGCATTTCTCTAATTACCAGTGATAATCAGCTTTTTTCACATGTTTGTTGGCCGCATAAATGTCTTCTTTTGATAAGTGTCTGTTCATATCCTTTGCACACTTTTTGATGGGGTTGTTTGTTGTTTTCTTGTAAATTTGTTTAAGTTTCTTGTAGATTCTGGATACTAGCCCTTTGACAGATGGATAGATTGCAAAAATTTTCTCCCATTTTGTAGGTTGCCTGTTCACTCTGATGATAGTTTCTTTTGCTGTGCAAAAGCTCTTTAGTTTAATTATATCCCATTTATCAATATTGGCTTTTGTTGCAATTGCTTTTGGTGTTTTAGTCATGAAGTCTTTGTCCATGCCTATGTCCTGAATGGTATTGCCTAGGTTTCCTTCTAGGGTTTTTATGGTTTTAGGTCTTAACATTTAAGTCTTTAATCCATCTTGAGTTAATTTTTGTAAAAGATGTAAGGAAGGGGTCCAGTTTCAGTTTACTGCATATGGCTAGCCAGTTTTCCCAGCACCATTTATTAAGTAGGGAATCCTTTCCCCATTGCCTGTTTTTGTCAGGTTTGTCAAAGAGCAGATGGTTGTAGATGTGTTGAATTATTTCTGAGGCCTCTGTTTTCCACGCAGTAATAATGAGAGACTTTATCACCCCACGGTCAATATTAGACAGATCAACGAGACAGAAAATTAATAAGGCTATTCAGGACTTGAACTCAGTTCTGTACCAAGTGCACCTAATAGACATCTACAGAACTCCTCACCCCAAATCAACAGAATATACATTTTTCTCAGTACCACATTGCACTTATTCTAAAATACTCCTCAGCAAATGCAAAAGAATGGAAATCATAACAAACTGTCTCTCAGACCACAGTGCAATCAAATTAGAACTCAGGATTGAGAAACTCACTCAAAACCACACAACTACATGGAAATTGAACAACTTGCTCCTGAATGACTATTGGGTAAATAACGAAATTAAGACAGAAATAAATGAGTTCATTGAAACCAATGAGAAGAAAAACACAATGTACCAGAATCTCTGGGACACAGCCAAAACAGTGTTTAGAGGGAAATTTATAGCACTAAATGCCCACAGGAGAAAGCAGAAAAGATCTAAAATTGACACCAAGACTAAACCAGGAAGAAGTTGAACAATAACAAGTTCTGAAATTGAGGCAGTAATTAATAGCTTATTAAGCAAAAAAAAAAAAAAAAAAAAGCCCAGGATCAGATGGATTCACAGCTGAATTCTACCAGAGATACAAAGAGGAGTTGGTACCATTCCTTCTGAAATTATTCCAAGCAATAGAAAAAGAGGGACTTCTCCAAAACTCATTTTATGAAGCCAGCATCATCCTGATACCAAAACCTGGAAAACACAACAAAAAAAGAAAATTTTAGGCCAGTATCCCTCATAAACATCAATGTAAAAATCCTCAATAAAATACTGGCAAACTGAATCCAGCAGCACATCAAAAAGCTTATCCACTACAATCAAGTTGGCTTCATCTCTGGGATGCAAGGATGGTTCAACATATGCAAATCAATAAATGTAATCCATCACATAAACAGAACCAATGACAAAAACCACCTGATTATCTCAACAGATGCAGAAAAGGCCTTTGATAAAATTCAACACCCCTTCTTGCTAAAAACTCTCAGTAAACTAGGTATTGATGGAACGTATCTCAAAATAATAAGAGCTATTTATGACAAACCCACAGTTATCACACTGAATAGGCAAAAGCTGGAAGCGTTCCCTTTGAAAACTGGCACAAGACAAAGATGCCCTCTCTCACCACTCCTATCCAACATAGTACTGGAAGTTCTGGCCAGGGCAGTCAGGCAAGAGAAAGAAATAAAGGGTATTCAAATTAGAAAGAGAGGAAATCAAATTGTCTCTGTTTGCAGATGAAATGATTGTATATTTAAAATCCCCATCGTCTTAGCCCAAAATCTCTTTAAGCTGATAAGCAACTTCAGCAAAGTCTCAGGATACAAAATCAATGTGCAAAAACCACAAGCATTCCTACACACCAATAATAGACAAACAGCCAAATCATGAGTGACCCCCATTCACAATTGCTACAAAAAGAATAAAATGCCTAGGAATACAACTTACAAGGGATGTGAAGGGCCTCTTCAAGGAAAACTACAAACCACTGCTCAAGGAAATAAGAAAGGACACAAACAAATGGAAAAACATTCCATGCTCATGGATAGGAAGAATAAATATCGTGAAAATGGCCACACTGCCCAAAGTAATTTATAGATTCAATGCTATCCCCAGCAAGCTACCATTGACTTTCTTCACAGAATTAGAAAAAACTACTTTAAATTTATATGGATCCAAAAAGATCCTGTATAGCCAAGACAATCCTAAGCAAAAAGAACAGCTGGAGGCATCATGCTACCTGATTTCAAACTATACTAGAAGTCTACAGTAACCAAAACATCATGGTGCTGGTACCAAAACAGATATATAACCCTATTTTTAATTTTTTAAGGAACTTTGATGCTGTTTCCATAATAATGCCTTTACTAATTTACATTCCCACCAACAATGTACAAGAGTTCCCTTTTTTTTCCACATCCTTGCCAACATTTTTTTTTTTTTTTTGGTCTTTTTGCTAATAGCCATTCTATCTGGGGTGAGGTGCCATCTCATCGTGGTTTTTATTTTTATTTCTCTGGTTAGTACTGTTGACTATTTTTCCACATAATCTCAACACAGGCATTCACAATGAGCTTCAATTTATTAAAACATTTAAACTCTTACCAGCTTTAGCGTATTAATCCATATGGTATTACATTAATAAAATTTAAAATCAAGTGACTAAGTAGTTAGAAATTCTATAGAACTTTGTATACCACTGAAAATGTCATTTTTCATTGTACATATTTTTTTCTTATTTAAGATTATTGAAGAAAGCCCGAACCTTAATATTTTCATTTCTCTCTGCTGGCTCTTATTAGTCAATGAGAAAAGACCCACAGAAAATTGTTTTCTTTCCCCTAAGTTTAAGCTTTTGTCATGACAGCATTATAAAAAAGCTGAAGTCTTCTAGACAAATAGATAAATCTCCTAGATAAATATAAGTTAAGGAAAGAGTACACTTAGCTCTAAAGCTGGTAAGAAATCAAAGACCAATCTAATAGAGCAGTGAAAGAGAGTGAATAAGTATTAGATTACATTTTAATGTAAACTGTACTTGAAGAATTCCAATTGTTAGGTTAAGTTAATCAAGTTGCAAAATTTAAATACAAGAACAATTTAAATATATGTTATTGATAATAATGATTCAAATATTAATCATCTTTAGTCATTTCTGAGTAACTTGGAAATTACCACATAGGATGATAATTTGGCAAGCATCTTGACTCTACCTCTGATATTTCATAATGACAGTTTCTTTCAGAAGCGTTAATAACTAAAGCATTTTTTGGCAAAGATTTATATGTTCAGGCCACCAGCATTCTATGGTAGCTGGTTTGTTTTACATCTTTCTTCTGTATTTTGCAAATTTTGACCCTTTGCATCATCTAAGGACTAAATGAAAGAAGTCCTTCTAACAGTAGGTACTTCACTATTGGTTGCTCCTACTTTCATTAATTATATGTTAATTTGCAGTTTAAAGTTTTAAAGAAATAATCAGGAACTCCTCTTTGATATCTAGATGTCATTAAATATTAAGGAGCACTAGAAAAATAAATCATATTTCAATAAAATCATTTGCGTTGATAGTTTTGAATATAAAAAATGAAACTTTCTACTTTCATTTTCTATGCATAGAAACCGGTTCTGTGGAACACTTTGTCTTGTCTGTGGGTTTCAACTTGAAGGTAGATGGGTAAGAACATTGGCATTTCTTCCTATTGCTGTTACTAAAAGATACAGGTACATATGGGACTTTCTTGTACTACTGAAGTAGAGCCGGGAGGCACAGAACAGCAAATCATAAAGGGAAAAACACAGTTCATTGCAAAAATTGAGTTTATCTACCACTGAAAGTCTGTCCTAACCACAAGGGAATTTAAACCAAATGTCCAAAGGAGTCTCAAAATGTCGAACCTGATACTTAAACCATGAGCCATTCTCTGGTGTTTATCCAATGTGATTCTTACACTGACCCCTGGATATTAGAAGGACCCCATGCCCTTGTGGAAGCCTTTCCACATGCTTTCATTATTAAATGAGTTTGTTTAGCTCTGACTTCAATTGTGATAGTAAATAGTATTTCCTACGTTAAAAAGTGAGGATGAACTCTGGGTGGAAATAGTCAGCACATGAATGTCTCCAGTGATTTTCCAGTTTGAGAAGGGAGCGTGAATATTAAAAGAACTTACAGATGTGTTGGGCCTAATTTTTAAAAACTCCTTGCTCATCATTTCAAGAGCACATTTTATTTTACTAGTGCCCTTTGATTTTAACAAATTCTATGGAGTCTATTTCATTAGTTTTCTCTTTAAAAATCATTTCTTCCAGGAGAAATCCTGAAACACATGAAAAATTTGTATTCAATTCAAGCTCCAAGCTTTGTGTGGAACAACACTTCAGAGACCACTCGGAAGCATCCGAAGCTTCAGACCCTGAAAATGCTGTGGTCCGCTTGCTTAACTAGATTGGCTACAGGAAGCAGGTTACACCTGTGCTCTGCTGTCTGCGCTGATTGCCTTTTAGCTTCTGAGTGCAATTCAAGGTGATCATTTTAATCTCTAAGGCCCTGTATGGCTTGGGACCCAGTTATCCGATAAATTGCCTCTTTCCCTGGTCATGGCAATTAATATCAGCCAGAGTGCTGCTACTCACAGTTCCCTGTTCTTAAACTAAGGAACTGAAGGCAGGAGAGTGAGTGTGTGTACAGGAGGCACACCTCTGAATGTGGAAGACCCACATCATTGGCACTTCCTTTCAGGTGAACAAGCATATATATTGTGCATATGGACTTTGCCATCAAAGTTTCTAACTGGCAGTCTAATTTTTGATAATCAGTTTTTAGATTATTTTCAGCACCTCACATATAATTTTCTTTTTAAATATGACTAACATTTTGCTTTGAGAGTATATTCATAACTCTTCAGTGGATGAGTCACACTTTTTAAATTAAAAGTCCCTGCATTATTTAAATTCTCAGAAACATAAATTATGACTGGATTCAATGGAAAGGTGAAGTATTTAATAATAACTGTGAAGAAACACATTAATTCAAAAAATCATTTATCAAAGTCTCACTGTGTGTAAAGCATTTTTAAGCACAAAGACACAGATATAAAACACATTTATATGAAAAAAATACTGTTCAGAATAACTGGCGTACAAAGTTAATGTTTACTACTATCCTCTAATACAAAATTAGAAATGGCATTTGACAAAAATTAATAATATTGTCTAGTCACACAAACATATAAATCTAAACACTGGTAATAATGGACTTATTTGACATTGTGTGTTAGGATTACACATGAATTGGTGATATTGTTTCAAATTTGTCCAAATCTAGGTACCTTCACAAAAAGAAATGCATTAGAAGACTATGAATTACTTTCAGAATTAGAGTGACAACAAAATATTCTATTTTAGCAAAAACAGGAATTTGGAAAAATCTCCAAATCTAAGAATATACTATAGGAAAATCTCTCAAGATGCTTTTCTCAGAATGAATTAATTCCAACTGTTTTTAGATACTGCGCTATTCTACTTTAGATTCAGATATTAGAGAGTGCGGCAAAGGAAAACACCAAAACATTTGCTACAGAATGTAGAAACAAGATAAATTTGTCCATTTAAAATTGGCCGGTGAGAGCTCTCTCTAATGGTTTTAATATTTCTCCAGTCCTGTCATAGAAACTAGCTCTACTTGTTCCCCAACTGCAGTCTAAGCTTCAACCTAAACCTTCTAAATAAATTTTGGCTCTAGTTTGGGAGGATATTGAATGTATTACTTGACATTCTGGCCTTGCTGCTGTGGTCCCCATAATTGAATTTCTGCACCATATACAAGTTTTCAGTGACAGGATCTTCTGCTTTAGCCCCAAGTCTTTTAGTAATTAGAGGCCCCACAATTATTATTGAACCTTCACCGCTCTAAAAGTATTCTCAGAGCACTTCCATTATTTGCCTGATTCATCTCTACTAGTTGATTATCTTACTTTTGATCGAAAGGACGTGGGCATTGAGTTTTGGTTTGACTTTGGTTAATAGTACTTAACACTCCTGTTCTCTTCTCTCTGCCCACTTTTTTCCTTGGACTTTCTTCTGGTTAAAAATCCAGTTCGTGGACGCTTACTGGTGGATACATTTTTAAAAACCTAGTTTTCATTGGTATATGTATTCTTCTCTTTTGATTTTGTTTTGTAAATGTGGCCATCTAATCACCCAAAGCTTTATTAGTCCCTGGGGGTCTTCCTCCAGATTTTTTCCCCCCAGTATAGCTTTCTCTTTTCTCCCCATGTACCAGTTATGATACTTCTAAAATTAATTAACTCATACCCACTGATTAAATCAACAAGTTCTTATTGAGTATCTCTACATAGATATATACCTGTTAATGAAAAGGATGAATTCAAACTTTTAAATTGCTTATGGTCAAGTGAAGAAATGACACAGAGTGAATGCAGGACTTAAAAAACAGTGCAAAGTTATTCTACCTAATTTAGTGCCAAAATAAGAGATATAGACACAAATACTACAGGGATTCAGAGAAGAGAGAATGTTATATGGACGTGCTTAGATAGGGAAGGAAAAGACGAGATTGGATCTTGAAGCTAAAGTGAGGATTGAACCTGGGCAAATAGGTGGAAGGTAGATGAGGGAGGGATACCTGAAAAAAATATTTATAGTATAGAGTTTATTGGATTTGTTCAGTCAGAGAACAATGTTAAAATTGTTTGAAGCTAAGAGCTAAATCACTGGAAGAACAACTAGGGGACACATTTGCAAATGGAAAGTGGCATCATTGTGAAGGCCATGGCCTTTCAATTTCTGTCTAGTTACTGCATCTTTCCGAACAAGGTGAAATTATGATATATTACATAATTCTGTTTTTGAAAAGGTTTACATGGCGAGTGGAAGGAAAATGAAAACAAAGTAATTTTTTTTGTAAGACTGACGGGACCGCACATTTTAGTATTTTTTTTCTGATTATTAAAAGGTGTGGATCAATGTAGAAAATATAGCAAAGTTGAAAAAATATCTAAAACCCTTTTGTTCTTACAGCTGAGAAATAGGCCTTGTTAATATTTAAACAAAGGCATTCCAGTTTTTAAAAATATTTCTTTATATAAAGTTGTTTGTCATTATCATTATATCATAAGCATCTTCTCATTTTTTAGGACATTGAGATATATAAGTACTTAATCTGAAACTGTCCATCTCCTCTATGAATATACAACTTCTCTCAATAACTGAGAATCTCTTTACTGCATATATTCATCACCCAGAGTTCTGCTTTCCTTCTCGTTTTTTAAAAATATTTGCAGCATTTTAAAACCACGTGCAATATTGCAATTTACCAGTAACTATTAAAATCTAATAACAACACTGAATTATCAACTTTAAAATGATACATTTTATGGTATATGAATCACATCCCAATAAAGCTGTTGGAAAAAAATCCAGTAAACTCTCTTCCTGTTTCAAATATATTCCTGTTGTAGCAATTTCTGTAAAATAGTTAAAAATGCAAAAATTCTATAAACATTTTCCAGTTGCATTGGAGCAGTTAAAATTTGAGCTTTACTCAGATTTATGTCTTTTTGTTTTTCAGTGTAAATGGAGGAGATTTTTAAGTGGTTTCTGAAAACTTTTTCTTTTGGGATCATGGAATTTAAGTGTGTATTCTCATAATATGACATGTACTAAGGTTGACATCAGAAGAGAACAATTCTAGTTACATGCTGTGTGACTCTGAAATATCATTTAGTCTTCTGACCTTCAGTTCTTTAAACTGCAGAGAGAACTTTATAAAGCATTCTCTGATTTTTACCAATCCTCTACTTTGAATTTGCATTGCTTCAGAAGTACCTGCCTAATGAATGACAGCTACTCATGAATATGATTAAGCCAGTGTTAAAGTCAAAACTAGACATAAAAAAATGAAGAGACACTAGGTTTATAAATGACTCCTAGAAAAATAAAATGGAATATATAAATCTATATCTTGTGGAATAATTTTCTAAAATTATATAGTTTCTTAACTGTTATTACTTTCTCTTTTTAAATACAAATTCAACATTTTATTTTCTTCATAATAAAACAAAAGATGATGGCAGAACTGGATTACTTGGCCCTTTCTCTCCTTATCTCCTCCCAGTTCAAAATACTTGCATCATTTAATAGCCAGCATTCTCTTAGATCGGCAGTTGGGCTCTATGCACTCAAGCCTTGGCCCAATCTTCTTTGTAGTTTTAGTCTTTTTCTGGAAAATTGGCTTAGTCTGCCCACCATAGCCACTCTGCTTCCTGTCATAACGCTGCTTTCCCTGGGCATACAGAAAATCCTTGCTCTTCTTGTACCGTGTCATTTTCTGGGGTTGGTGCTTGCACACTTCGTACAGAAAGTCTGGCGGGTTTTTGGAATGTTCGCCATGTTTGTGGAGTACTATCAGCACTGTTATTACTCTCAATTGTATAATTTATAGTTTAAAACATTTGAAGTTCACTTAATATCAGGATGTACATTTATTTTTCTATAGAGTAGCTACTTTTTAATTCTTTTGACATCGTAGCAAGGAATAAAATATCTCCCCTGGACTTTCAAAGAGAACTGAGACCAGATGACACCCTGATTTGCCTTCCCATTCTTTAAAAACAACGGAATGATGTTTCATGAGTTCTAAGAGACTAAAAATCACACAGTATAGAAACTTAGGGTCCACACTTCCACTATTACATCTTCCACTATATTGTGCTTCTTAAAACCTAGATTTAAAATTAATTTAGTGGAATGGTCCATGACATGGATTAATTTCCAAACATGAATCCTCATAAAAGGAACGCATGCTCTTGAAAATAGTGCTGTTAAAAGAATGTAAGTTTTCAAAAAAAGGTTTTATAAAGTTCTGAAGACACTGAAACGATATCAGGTCTGCAGGCACCTGTTCTCGTCTTACACACTGCTTGCGTGTCATAGTTGGGTAGTCTCAGTCATCCAATGTCAGGAATGTCAGGACTGTCAGGACAAAAGAGAACATCAGTAAACAATGATAATTTTTGATTATTAACACTCGTTATGTTTATAAGACAAGTTACCAAGTGCTAACTATTGGTAATTATTAAATTTTTATAAATATAAAGTAAAAATGAGGTCTTGTCTACTTCAGTGACAGAGTAGCAGTATCTTATTTTGTTCCAAATTATGGTTGGTTGCTGTTTGCTACATTTAATTGATACCCAGACTACATAGATTTATATACATATATTTACATGCCACAGATGCACGCATATATGTATGAATAGATGAATAATACTGGTAGTGTTGGCATTTGAAGAGAGATGTAGGATATTTTAAGATTGGAATTCCTAACTTAACCTATGGAGATCCAATTTCCCAGCATAATTCATGTATGACTATGGCATAAAATTATGAAAAATTCTTCTGGTTAACTAAAATGTACTAATTGCCATAAATTTGAGCATTTATGCATTCATTTAGGAGAGTTTATTTAGAAGGTTAGAAGTCATTTGGATCTGCTAATAATTACCTTAAGTAATTTTTTAGGACATTTTAAATTAATTCAGAAGTGTTAAAACATGTGGTTACTACTTATTTTAATTTAATGTCTCTCCTCTAGAACTTCTCTTTTCTAAAATAAATTATATTTAATATTTTAGAAAATTTATTTTAGTTTTGGGGGTACATGTGCATGTTGGTTCTATAGATAAATTGCGTGTCTTGGGGTTTTGGTGTACAGATTATTTCATCACGCAGATAATAAGCATATAATACTTGACAAGTAGTTTTTTAAACCTCACCCTCCTCCTACTCTCCATCCTCAAGTAGGCCCCAGTGTCTGTTGTTCTCTTCTTGGTGTCCATGTGTACTTAATGTTTAGCTCGCCCTTATAAGTAAGAACACATGGTGTTTGGTTTTCTGTTCCTGTGTTAGTTTGCTTAGGATAATGGTCTCTAGCTCCATCCATGTTGCTAAAAAGAACATGATCTTGTTCTTTTTTATGGCTGCATAGTAGTCTGTGGTGTGTTATGTACCACATTTTCTTTATCCAATCTACCATTGATGGACATTTAGGTTGATATGGTGTCTGTGCTATTGTAAATAGTGCTGCTATAAACATATGTGTGCATGTCTATTTATAGCCGAACAGTTTATATTCCTTTGGGTATATACGCAATAATAAAATTGCTGGGTTGAATGGTAGTTCTAAGTTCTTTGAAAAATTGCCAAACTGCTTTCCACAGTAGCTGAACTAATTTACATTTCCATCAGCAATGTATAAGTGTTTCCCTTTATTTGCAACCTTGCCAGCATCTGTAATTTTTTGACTTTTTAATAATAGACATACTGAATGGTGTGAGATGATATCTTATTGTGGTTTTGATTTGCATTTCTCTAATTATTAGTGATGTTGAGCATTTTTCATATCCTTGTTGGCCATATGTCTGTCTTCTTATGAAAAGTGTCTGTTTATGTCCTTTGCCTACTTTTTAATGGTTTTTTTTTTTTTTTTGCTTGTTGATTTGTTTAAGTTCCTTATAGATTTTGGACATCAGACTTTTGTCATATGCATTGTTTGCAAACATTTTCTCCCTTTCTGTGGGCCATCTATTTGTTGATAGCTTCTTCTGCTGTGCAGAAGCTCTTTAGTTTAATTAGATTTGGTTTGTCAATTTTTGTTTTTGTTGCAATTGCTTTTGGCATCTTCGTCATAAAATCTCTGCCAGGGTGTATGTCTAGAATGGTATTTCCTAGGTGGTTTTCTTCAAGGGTTTTTATAGTTTTAGGTTTTACACTTAAGTCTTTAATCCATCTTGAGTTGATTTTTGTATATGGTGTAAGGAAGGGATCCAGCTTTAATCTTCTGCATATGGCTAGTCAGCTATCAAAGCAACATTTATTAAATAGGGAGTTCTTTCCCCACTGATTGTCTTTGTCACCTTTGTTGAAGATCAGATGGTTGTAGGTGTACAGCTATGCTTAACTGAAAGTATATCAATCACTTATAATATTATGGCAATAAATTTGTAAAAATATATGTATTGACTCTGAATCTTAATTAAAGGTTTAAGTTACAACGAAAATTCTTTTAAAAAAAGAAACAGTTAACATGAACTATCACTTACAAAGCTTCCCACTATATTCCTACCTAGCTGTATGTAGTTAATATCATATGATGTATGTAATTTAGTTGTGTTTTTGTCCCAATGAAGTCTGAAAGAATTTAATGCATTAACATTTATGGTTTAGATTATGTCCTTGTTATGGGTTACTAAGAATAAAATGTGTTTATCCATACATATTTTGAAATTACACCCCATAAATATTGTACTAAGTATGCAAATTCCATCAGTGGATGAGACATCCTTTCTTCACAATCTTGTTAAAGTATTAACTCCTAAAAATCTTTCCAAATCTATTTGTTGAAAATTGATTTAATTTTTAATTAAAATGTCTTTTACTACTCTTGATAAAAATTATTTTTACCGCTGTCCCTCTTCTTCTCTATTTCTCCTTGTCTTGGTTCCTTCTTTCTGACATAGCATTACCTTTATATTATAATTTGATATTCTAAGTGGTATCACTTTTCATATTGCAAATATTTATGAGATGATGCCAAAAATAACCAGAGTTCAAAAAAATCATTATAAAGATGTATTTATATTAGAACTAAGTTTATTTGGTCAGACCCATTGATTAGGAAATGTATATTTGGCACTTGATGTTAGTAGACATTTTTTTCTTCTGAAATTTCTAATTATCTTTGTTTTATCCCATTTACAAAAAGAAGTATATAGCTATACTCTATCAAACACATTATTCCTTAATTATATCAGTTGCTAATTGAATCTACTTGTTTCTGAGAATATTCATTTCAGAGCTTCTGACTTTCTGCTTTAATACTGATAGAATTTTGCCTTTTAGAACTGATATAATCTGTCATTTACATCTTATGTATTACAAAGTCAGGAAATATCTGAAGTAATATCAAGAAATAGAGGTTATCATACATTATTTAAGATTATAAATACTGAAGTAAAAATGAAAAGTAAAAAGTGTCTGCATACTTTTTTTAGAAGGAATGTAGTAGTGTAAGGGAGTAAAATTCATCACTTTTTAATGCAGGTGAAACTACTGATAATATTTAAATTGAAATATTTGGAAATGAAGGCATAAGCATACTATTTTGAATTATTTAAATAACTACTAAGAGAAAAAAAAACAAAAGTGGTTAAATGTGTTTCTCTCCAGGAAAAAGACTGAGGATGTATAAGAGAAACTTTTACTTGCTATTGTCTAAATATTTATATTTTCAGAATGTTGTCACAATCTCTTTAAAACTATAATATTAATAAAGGCCACTTTGGAAAAGAAAAATATAATCTTTGTCATAAAGTAATTTTATCATAGGACAAAATATCTAAAATGATTTTTTTTAGCAAAGGGCAAATTAAAGAATATATATTTTACCAGGGAAAGTCTACATCACATCACAGTAACAATTATTTATAGAAGGCCACTTATGTAACTGGAAGTATAATTAGGGTTCAAGATTTAGCAGTGAACAAGACACACATGTATCTTCCCCTCATAAGCATCATAGTCTAGAAGAGTCTACAGACAAGAAAAGAAGTATACAGGCTACCTTAGGGAATAAAGAGGACCATACTCTGAAAAGAAATACTTGAGAGGACTATAAATCTAGATTTGAAAAGGCAGGAACACTTCACAAGAACAGGCATTTAATCTAAAGGCTGTAAAAAGACAAATGATACCCAAAATGTCACTTTTCACATACTTCCATCCTTACCTCAATGCACTGTCCTTTATGTCGAATTTTTCAACTAAGTATCAGAAAACTATCCCTCCTCCCCATGAAATGAAACCAACAGAACACATACACAAGGAAACACATTTTAAAAGCTTTCTGCGTTTACACTGAAGACCAATCCGATTTAGCATCCTAAAGCCTCACATTAAGATCCCTTGGAGCCCTAGACAGTGAAAATGTCGTGGTCCTACACCCATAAACCATTATGCAATTTCCAGTAAGAACAATACCATTGATCATGCTGTGTAGGAAACTACCATAAAACCTCATCAGCCAGCCACATTCAGTATTTATTTAGATGTTTATCCAGACAGCTGGAGGTCAGCTGATTTAAGCCTGGTGCAGCTGCGTGGCTCTGCCAATTTCAGCTGGCACTGCTCAAGTGTGTTAAGTTGAACCCAGATGATCTAGATAGGGCTCCATGTGACCAGTTCAGCTAGGCTCCATGTATTTCTCATGCTTCTTCTGGGACCAGCAGGCTAGCCCAAGCTTCTTATTTTTAAGTTGATGGCAGAAACCTAAGAAGGATCCATGGAACAAGAAAGGACTCTTAAGGCCTGGCCCATCAGTCTTGTCTCATTCATTTGACCAAAGCAAGCCTGGTGGCTAAATCTGAAGCCAAAAAGTAGAAAAATATACTCTGCCCCCTCAGTGGGAGAATCTGAAGTCACAGAGTATGGAGACAGTGAAGAATGAAGAATTGAGACATTCGATGCAAGTATACAAATACTAAAACACATGTTAGTTATAAGAAGGGTCAGGCACCATGGCTCATGAGTGTAATTCAAGCACTTTGGGAGGCTGAGGCCAGTGGATCATTTGAGCTCAGGAGTTCGAGACCAGCCTGGGCATCATAGCGAGACCATGTCTCTTAATTATAGTAATAGTAGTAATAATAATACTAATAATACTAGTAAAGATTAGGGCCAAGCGTGGTGGCTTATGCCTGTAATCCAAGCATTTTGGGAGGCCAAGGGGGGCGGATCACCTGAGGTCAGTAGTTCAAAACCAGCCTGGCCAATATGGCGAAACCCTGTCTCTACTAAAAATGCAAAAATTAGCCAGGTGTGGTGGCATATGCCTATAATCCCAGCTACTCGGGAGGCTGAGGCAGGAGAATCGCTTGAACTCAGGAGGCAGAGGTTGCAGTGAGCTGGGATCGTGACATTGCACTCTAGCCTGGGCGACAGTGAGACTCCGTCTCAAAAAAAAAAAAAAAAAGATTATTTGTAAGAATGTCCTACATATATATTTTTATTATATCCATGCCATACCTTTTTTGAAATAACAAACATCAAAATATTTTTGGAAGATCTTGTTTCCCTGGTGGTCCTAAACATATGCTGTCAGTCTTGTGGGTTACCCTACACTGCAACCCTTAGATTTTATTTTCAGCTGGTTTTATGGAGTTAAATGCATTGATAATCATAAATATGACCTGACTACCAAACAAACCTGATAAAAGAAAATGATACTATATCACAGGTATACTTATAAGAAGAGTGTTTAGTGGCTTTGTATCAAAAGTATCACATAAACTACCAATTTATGTCTATAAATAAAATATGCTAATACCTATTAGTATGATATTGAAAAATAAAGCCACCTGAGGAATTCCTGGCAGGTGATAGATAAGAAGTAAATGTTTGTGACTGTTGTTGACCTCTAGTTCTGTGGAATCTGAAGCAAATTATTTAGCCTCTCTTAGCTTTAGTTTTCTCTTCTGTAAAACTGAGATATTGGTAATGTCTATTTTATGAGGTGTTATGAGAATTATATTAGTGAATCCGTAAGACGATTAGAAGGGTGCCTAGAAACATACTAAGCACTCATTCAATGCTAGTTCTTATTATTACAATTATTATTACTTATGTTATTACTGAAGTAGACTTAAAATAGTATATGATGAACATATAATGAGCAAGAACAATTAGCAATCTCTTGGATTATAGATCTTTAAAAAATTTAATGCCTAATGTTTAATTTCCTTTATGACAGTTATTAAAATATGCAAAATCATTTATTGTTTTATTATCCAAAAGAAATTATTCAGCATGAATTACATACAGTGTCCATGCCAGGAAGTTAATTGCTTAATTTTAAAAAGTTAATATATGGTCTGTAAATGTTACATGCTTACAATCTAGATACAGATAAAATAGGTATGTGTTTGAAACATTAACTAACAAAACAGACATGCAATTAATTATAAAATTATATTTTATTTAGTATATTTTCTAAAAATTAAAATGAGAGAAGATAAATAGAGAAGTAAGTAGCTAGATGGGGATAAAGCAGAAATGTAAATCTGAATTGGGATAAACGGTTTTGAGTGTAAAGGGAACTCCAGAAGGGGACTACAGGCTTGAGTTCAAGAGGCAGTGAGGAAACTGGACTGGAAATAGGACTTTTGTTTAGGTTACGATGATAGATTAATTGAGAAGGATAAGGTAGGGCCAGATTCAGAAAAATTTTGACTGTGAAGAATTTGAATATCATGATTAAACCCAAAAGTTAACCATTAGTCAATTTACTATTAGTTTTAAAAATATTTCAATTATTATTTTTATATTTACAAACCTAATTAATTATGTATACAAGTAAAGTAACCAATACAGACAGCAATAACTTTCTCACACTCATATAACACTATGAAACCATGGGGAATCTTGAATATTAATGGGAAATTAAGACACTAATTTTTTTTTGAAGTTACCCATTCGAACTGGATTTTCACTCCAAGTGATGACTACTTGAACTCTTCTTGACTTCAGAATAACCACAAAGATGGCCAAATCTGACATTTCACTTTCATTATTGTATTAATGCCTTGTATTATCTTTACAAGTCTGTATTATGATACTAAAAAGGAAAGAGAACAGTTGACTGAGACCATGTATGAAAACCAATACAGAATCACTGGTTCCAAAAGTCTGGGCTGGTGGTGTAGAGAACATAAACTGGAATAAAGAAAAACTATTTGAAGTATATGATGAGGACCTGGTAAGAGTGAGTAAAGAAACTGCTAGAGGGTTGTTTACTAAATTTGCTTCATAAGTGTGAAATTTAAATGCTAGCATTTATAAAGTTATTTATAAAATCGTGTACATTTTAAATTACTAATCAATTAATCTTGTAATAAATGCTTCTTGCCTAGGCATTATATGCCTAGGGCTCTGATGAGCAATGTGTGGATTGTGTCAGGCCTCAAGAGGATATGGTCTAGTTCTTGATTTCTGGGTAAAGTAACTGACACATTACAAAATATTAAATTCTTAGCATTGATGCTAAGTGCCATAGTAACTCCTAGAAGGGAAAGATCAGAGTGGTCAGAATGGTCAAAAACAATTTCTGGAGAGAGTGGAAACTTGATATATACCTTAAAATATTTAAGATGTAAATGTATGGAAGTGAAATGCGAGAGAGTCATATTGGGATAGAAAAATCAACAAAAATGTAGGAATGAGTAGGATGTGTTCTGCTGTTAGAAGAAACGTATCTCAATTCAAGAAGCATAAACATATTGAATGAGTTTACTGGATTCAGATAATAGAGACACTGAAAACTGGTCAAAAGGCTTTGAACCTAGTATTGAAGAATACAGAGAGTAATGATCAAATAAGGAAGACAGTGTTATAAGGAGGTAAGTCTGGCAGTGGTGGACAGACTAATTTGAAAGAGAGGATTGGATGGCAGGGAGAGAATTAAGAGGATACTTGCATAAGCTAGATAAAGGGAATGTCTAGACCACAGAGGAAGAAGAGAAATAGATATTTTCAAGGAAAAAAAATGGGAGAAATTAATAAAGGCCAAAAGAAAAAAATCATATCAACATGAAAAGAACTCAGATAATTGGAAAGTGGCACAAACTTGGGGAATACAAATGTGAGGGTCACAGAAAATATGCAGCACTGGAGGGAACTGTTGGACATTTACATAAATAAAAAACTATTGTAAATCAGGACTTAAAGTGGAGATGAGCGACCAGTGCTGGAATTAGAAAGTGCAGAACCAACTGAAAAAGATTGGAAAGCCAACACCATAAAACCTGTTATATTTATGTTTAAATCTGCTTCTTTTGTTAATCAGTTTTAGATGATAAAATCCTAATTTTCAGGACACATTAAGTACATAGTACTTCTTTTTGACTTTAAAATAGACATTCCATATTACATATTAGGAAATGGACGCAAAAAGGCATAGGGAAAGAAAATTGTCAAATGTCAAATTCAAACAATTGATTTTTCCTGTTAAATAGGATAAGAGCTAATGTTTATATCGCTAGAGTTCTAACTACTTTATAGATATTAATCCATTTAGTCCTCACAACAACCCTGAGACATACATATTGTCTCCATTTTTATGGATATAGAAACAGGCACAAATAATTTAAGTAACTTGCCCAAAGTCACCCTGCAATTAATTAAGTGGCAGAGCTGGGATTCAAAGGCAAGTAGTCTGGCACCATTTTGTTGTCTTAATGACTCCACCATACTTTTTCTGGAGCAATGATTGTTAATTATGAAACTTATCTAATTTCTTAACATGTTAACATTACCTTAGTTGTGTCAACACAAAACAAGATTAATCATAAAAGTTTCAATTATGCAGGATTTAGATTGTATCAAAAACATCAGAATAATTCTTTTTAATTTTATTATTTTTATTCTATGTATGGCTCATACAATGACCAGTTTATTCCAAGATATCATATAACTTCAACAATGTAAAAATCAGCACTCTCAAATGGTTATCAAATCAAATATCATTTTGCATTAAGATTCTGTTCTAAATTAATTTTTCAAAGAAACTAG
The DNA here is from genome assembly GCF_000001405.40 of Homo sapiens. NCBI lineage: Eukaryota > Metazoa > Chordata > Mammalia > Primates > Hominidae > Homo > Homo sapiens. The sequence goes on along the minus strand of NC_000004.12, from coordinate 111,542,622 downwards.
AAATGCATATTTGTTATTTCATGTTATAAATGTTGACAAAATAGATAATAACATTATATTCTGTCTAATTTGACAACAAGAACAAAATAAAGCCCTACAATAGAATCTTACATCAAAGTCATCTGCTGATGTTTATGTTTCCAGATTAGTTTTGAGGGGAAGTTTTAGGTCTTTTTCCACATTTGTTTTTAAAATTACCACCATTACTACATTTCACTTCATTTATATCTAATGTTAGCAACATTCATTGAAGAAGAAATAAAAAGTCTAGGAAGATTATTTCAATCCATTGTTTTATACATTCCTTAGTCATGGAGGGCTGTTTTGTCTCAGAACAAGTACAGTGCACTGTTTGTAATTATGGAGGCATCTCAGTGGAATTACAAGCACCAAGAGAGAGAAAGCACTGTGATCTGGCTATGACTGAGAAAGATAGACTACTTCAGTGAAAATTCATTCCCCTTAGAAACTAAAAATATTCTGAGTTTTGAACTAACAGTAAAAATGTAGAGTTAGAGAGGAATTGCTTAATCTTGAAATGACATTCTCTTTCTGAAAAGTATAGATTTCAAGCATTTTTATAAAGAGGACTTTCTTAACATCAAATAACTCCTACAAACACTTATTTTGATGAGTTAAGTGTAAATGAATCAGCCTATGCGGATTACATTTTCTTTGACATGCTTAAAGATTTACATAGCTAGGGGGTGTGTGATGGCCTAAATCATCTGGGGTTTTATTGACCCCAAAGCATTCAAAAGTCAAATTGAGCTTCTCAGACCACTGGAACTCAACTGCTCTTCCAATGATGATATCTGATGTGAAACCTCAAGAAAATATTTCTATGTTTTCTTAACATAATTATTTTGGAATCAGTTAATGATAGTCATATAAGCCAAAGTAAGCAAACATTTTTTTCTTGATTTTTTAAAATAAAATCTCGTGCTGTTTATCTGGTTATGAACAAGACTAGTTTCATTTTGCATGTATTGTTAAACTCTGATTCTCAATGAGAATTTACTTGCTTTTTCAGAATGTAGTTAGAGTCAAGGGTGATGAGGTCCACAGGGAAGTGTGCAGGTGGAGAACCAGGAAATTATACCCTTGAGAAGCTTTGGGGTTTTTAATCATTGAGATCTGACCCATAATGACTGATGAAAACATTCTGCTCCTCACTAGTGACTTGCAGATGGTGGAGCTAGTTTAAACTCATTTTAACTTCTTTCTTCCTTAAGTTATCAACATGTGCATGTATGGGTATGTGTATATGGATATAGGATGTAAACAGTGAGAAAAAAACCTCATTTCTGCTATTCATGACATCTAAGATGCTAGGTGAGATTTTCCATGCGAAAAGCTATCCTACAAAAGCGTTTCACCATTCAGATGAAATCAAAAGCTTATGCTGTATCATTTACCACTATCCCAACTGCCTGTACACACACACATGCACGTACACACACATACACACATTTCCCAATACTTTTGGCAGTGTTCATTAATATTGGCTTGGTGACTGAAACAACTAACTTTTCCTCACCTATAATATGTACATGTAATACATATATTCCAGTGTGAATGTCAGTATACACACATATATTTGGTTGGTGCAAAAGTATTGTAGTTTTTTCCATTTCTTTCAATGACTGAGAAAGGATATCAGACCAAAAAATTATGTAATTATGAATCATAAATGGCATTTACTCTGTTATCTTATTATGATTTGTAAGGTGCTTTGTGCATAAAGCTGATGATAGAAGAGACACAGACCTGGCAAGCTGAGAAAAGTCAGAGATATCTTTCCTATATTCTCCCACACTAAGTAATCTGTGTTTACATAATTCATTTTTGTTTGAGAGGGGCAGTGACTCCCATTCTCCCTCCTTTTATCCCCATTGGCTTAAAAAATTCTTAAGGTCTTTTGAATTAACCAGAAAATTTAGCTCAGTTGAAATTAAAACTGTATGATCATATTAACAGTGAGATCACTATCACTATCATAATGCTTAAATATAAATTGTGCTCATAAAATTTTAACTTTTGTTTCATTACAAAATAATAAGCTTCATATTAATAAATGTGTTATTGTTTGGTCTGTCCTCTAGAATAAAGAATCTTGCTGTGGAAGAAAACACTTGAATGTAGTTTTAAAATCTTGTTAGTATATTTGTAGAAAACCCTTAAATTATTTATCTTAAAAAACAGGAGAAAAATTGCTTTTAATGAAGTTAGCATGGTTATTAAGGAAGATTTGGGACTGGCATACCTTGTAAGGACAGCATAAATAGATGTGATTGTTATATAATTTGTGACATTAATACTTTTCTTAGGCCGGGCGCGGTGGCTCACGCCTGTAATCCCAGCACTTTGGGAGGCCGAGGCGGGCGGATCACTAGGTCAGGAGATGGAGACCATCCTGGCTAACATGGTGAAACCCCGTCTCTACTAAAAATACAAAAAATTAGCCGGGTGTGGTGGTGGGTGCCTGTAGTCCCAGCTACTCGGGATGCTGAAGCAGGAGAATGGCATGAACCCGGGAGGCGGAGCTTGCAGTGAGCCGAGATCGCGCCACTGCACTCCAGCCTGGGCAACAGAGCGAGACTCCTTCTCAAAAAAAAAATACTTTGCTTAAATCTTTTTAAAATTATACTCTATGTTAAATGCATACAGTAATTCAGGTATAAGTAATTTAATGAAAATTCTTTTCTCTATTATGACAATTCATATTCTTACATAAAATTTTTAAGCAATTCTGTTAATATATTTTATACAGGTAAAATATGTATCTATGTATATGTTTATATATGTGTCTGTGTATATATGACACTTGGAATGTTCACAGGTAAAAGACAAGTTCTATAAAGATAAATCATAATTTTCCATAAGTGTATCTGTATTATGAAGGAAAAATATATATTTCACTTATATATTAAGTATTGACATTTATTAATAATATAGATGTTTAACCCTAGAAATATGCCAATAGCGTTTGCAAATTACTTATCTCAGAAATTGCCATCCGGCCATAGGTCTCTAAAATTATAAATATGTTAGTTTGTATGAATGGATAAATTCATTTTAGCCACCTTACTTCATTGTTTTCAATATTTTTAATTAAAATTTTAAATACCTGGTGGATTTATTATATTTTTACATATGTTGACACTTTTAATATTCTTTATGTCATTGAAGAAGTAGAGTTACTCTCTCTTAAGAAATACAACCCATGCTAAAGTATATCATATTTGAGCTATAACTGTTCCACTTACTTTTCTCCTCTCTCCCCTCTTTCTGAATATACATTTATTTAAAATCTACAAGTTTTATTTTTTAATATTTGAGTCAAGCAAATTGCATTCTATCCACACTCAATATAGTAGGGTAAAGGTGGGGAGGGGTTATCCTGAAATGACAGCCTAGTAGTCCTGGACATGTCCTGGGATTGCTAATGGTCCAGGCTGATCTGACACATAGCAGTATTTACCTATTTTCCATTCTTTTCTTATAGTCCATGTTAATCTAGCACAACCAGGGCCTGTTGATCAACCAGATAACATTATCTTGATACTTAATATTGTGTAGCGAGGGAAATCTCTGACTTATTCTCTTGTATTTTCAGGAAAGAAGGTCAGATGTGTTATGTTTGAGTGGAAGACTAAATTCAGTACTTTTGAATCTCTGTAGATTTTGAATATTGAAGGCCCTGGCAAATTCTGAGCATTGCCCCAAACCAAAGGGTGAATTATATTGTTAAGAAAATGCATCCTTTAAGCAGACATATTTTAAAAGAGGAATGGGCTCTGAAATTGCTGATACATTTCTTTTCTAATAGTAGTTAGTGCTAAGCCTTGAGAATGAAAGGGCATCAGTTATAACCAGATTTCTATGGTGTAAATGGAAGAGAGGCAAAATCACAAAATTCAGTGAGTTTGCCTGGGGATCTAATAATATTGAATCATCCTCACTTCTCAAACAATCTGGATTGCTTTAACTTCTTGTGCCTGGTCTTTCCATGTCACAGCAGACCAATGGGAAGGCCAATAATGCAGCAGCCATGGCCAATTTCTTTTTTTTTTAATTTTTAATTTTTATTTATTTATTTTTTATTATTATACTTTAAGTTCTAGGGTACATGTGCACAACGTGCAGGTTTGTTACATATGTATACATGTGCCGTGTTGGTGTGCTGCGCCTATTAACTCGTCATTTACATTAGGTATATCTCCTAATGCTGTCCTTCCTCCCTCCCCCGACCCCACCACAGGAAGTGTGGCCAATTTCTTTGTTTAGAGTCCCATCTGGTTATAAAACCTTGCTTATTCCTTGGAGATAGACCAGAACCATGGGTCCAATTTACACGGGTTAGGTGGCACAAGTGCCTCTTCAGCTGCATGGTCTTTACAAGCTGCAACTGATTAATGTTGTGATTTATTTACTTTGCGACAACCTTGTAACAGCAGTAGCAGCCCTCACAATCACATGGCTTGACTGCTATTACGACCTCCTAAGAAGACTCTCAGCAGATTGTGTGGGATGCAGCAGTACAACCCCTAAGTGGTGTGAGTAACCAAGATAAAATTTTATGTGTCTCTTTTCCAGCTTGGTTTAGGCTCTGTGTGGTCAGTTGGCTTTGCAGATTTTTAATGAGGAGCAAACATTGTTTTGGAGCAGCACAGCTGAGGAGCAGGGGACTGGTAGAAGGTGTTGTTTTTGGCAGAAATGGTGGCATGGTAAGGCATAACAGTTGGTAGGAGTACACTTACTATGAAAAAAAAGAGTGTCTACTAACTGGAAAACTCATAATTGTGTTGGTGAAGGTTCAGTCAACAGCTCTGATTTGAAAGCCATTGATCTTGCAAATTACTTAGTCTGGAGTTATTGCTTCTAAGAATCTAAAAAATTCCTGTGCAGAAAATAATAACATTAGCATTTCCTTAGCATCTCTATTGAATTTTTGCTTTTTGTCACTAAAGTAAACTTTATCACTAAAGTAAACTCTTTATTTATGCATCTATTTCTTTGTTCATATTTCAACCCTGAGTATTTGTTAAGGACTTTCTATTTGCCCTTCTGATGATAAAAAAGTTAGTTAAACTTATCTCCTATCCTTTAACACTTTACAGTCTTGCCAGTGAAGGAAAACACCTGTAAATAACTATGCAAATGAGATGCATATATAAGGTATTAAGAGAGTTTAGATGAGAAAAGGGATTTTTTTTTTAAATCTATCTAGAAGGATTAAGAAAAGCTTCAATATTGCGAAATAACACCTGATTTTAGCCTTGAATGATGAGTCAAATTTAGAAACTGAAACATGGGAAAAATACATATCAATTGGAAAAAACAGCCTGAGTAAAGGCAAGGATAGTGTACCAAAGCTTGATAGTTCTTCGCTTTTACCAGAATGTCTAAGGTGAACATTGGGAGGTAAGATCCAGGAAGTGATTTGGAGCTTTATCTTGGTGGATCTTAAAAGCTAGTTGAAAAAATAGTTAGGTTTTACTTTAGGAAGTAAGAAGTTTCAAAAATTTTTAAACAAATACATTTAGGGAGCTCAATCTTGTAAAAGCACTTTAGACTATTCTTTAATTGTTTATTAGTAGTATTTATACTCTGCCTATTACTGAATATATTTTGATTTTTGTCCTTACATATATGGGCATATAATGTAATAAACTATTCTTTTAAAGAAGTTACCACTGAAAAGGAATTTGAGATAACATGGGCAGAAATGGTAATGAAATTTATATTTTTTTTGTATTTATACATAGTTTTTGCTAAGAAAATTAATACTACAAGAAAGATGTGGTGAGGTAGACAATAATAAGGTAATAAGAACATATGTTCTGTTATTAAATAAAAGGCTTTTGTTTTCTTGATGGTAAAGTGATGGCTTGTGTGGGTGTGTGTATGCATATGTGTGTAGATATGTATGTGTGTAATATATGTATATATAGAGAGAATATATAAACTTGGAAGGATTATATATGTATGTGTGTATATAGACACATATACACACACACATACACACATATCCTTACAAGTTTGAATCAAAATTTCAGAGAAATATTCAAACTTCATAAGCAAATATGAAATTTTTAAGCATTTTAAAGTACTTCAGAAATATTCAGTTATTCATATATTAAGGATAGGTCATTTGGAAATCATTTTCATTTTTTTGTCTATCAGAGCCTACAAGAATCACCCAGGTAATGCTTTGCTACTCCATATCCAGTCAACAGTTCTTTAGAGTAAATCACTGCATTTGTCTAAGAAATTTGCTATAATTCACAACTGTCATTATTCAGGCCAGAATTCTTGCTAATCCATGTGAGTCCACTTTATGTTTTTCCCCTAAAGTGAAGGCAATATTTACTAAAACATAAAATACTCACAGAATTAAGAAAATGTCATAAAACCACTTAATAGTTTTTATGAAGGCAGGAACTTAATCTTACATTTATCAGAAAAAGGAACAGGTCATGAAACACCCTGACCCTTAGCCTAGCATTCTACTTGTAAACTTACTCATTTAAATGTGATTGAGAAGAAAGAATGTAATCTCTTAAAGAATATTTTCCTTATCAGCTCACATTGCTAGAGTGCAGTCGACTCTTTCCTGTCCAACTTTTGAACATGATAAAGTATCTTTAGGAACCACATTGCTGAATTCCTTTTACACTTTACTTTTCTATTGATAAGTGCATGATGAGCATCCTGAAAAATACCTTTTGTGCCAGCTCATTGTAATTACTCTAAAATGAAACAAAGAGTATTTAAATTACTTAATAAGAAGAATTATTCACTAAGAAAAAGAATGATTTAACAAGAAAGCCTATCAGCTATTATAGTAGCAACTGAAGGGTACCAGGAAAAAAACAAAAATATGTGCTTTAAATCTTTTTGCCATATCTTATTTTCTTCTTCCAGATGAGCCTTGAAACAATTACCTTTGAATAGATGTAAAACTCAATTAAAAAATTAGTAACTTTTTGGATATTGCCACTGATCCCACAGAAATACAAACTACCACCAGAGAATACTATAAACACCTCTACACAAATGAACTAGAAAATCTAGAGGAAATGGGTAAATTCCTTGACACATACACCCTCCTAAGACTAAACCAGGAAGAAGTCGAATTCCTGAATGGACCAATAACAAGTTCTGAAATTGAGGCAGTAATTAATAGCCTGCCAACCAAAAAAAGCCCAGGACTGGATGGATTCACAGCTGAATTCTACTAGAGGTACAAAAAGGAGGTGGTACCATTTTTTCTGAAAGTATTATGAACAGTAGAAAAATAGGAACTCCTCCATAACTCCTTTTATGAAGCCAGCATCATCCTGATACCAAAACCTGGAAGAGACACAACAAAAAAAGAAAATTTCAGGCCAATATCCCTGATGAACATCGATGTGAAAATCCTCAATAAAATACTGGCAAACCAAATCCAGCAGCACATCAAAAAACTTATCCACCATGATTAAGCCAGCTTCATACCTAGGAGGCAAGGCTGGTTCAACATACACAAATCAATAAATGTAATCCATCACATAAACAGAACCAATGACAAAAACCACATGATTATCTCAATAGATGCAGAAAAGGCCTTTGATAAAATTCAACACCTCTTCTTGCTAAAAACTCTCAATAAACTAGGTATTGATGGAATGTATCTCAAAATAATAAGAGGTATTTATGACAAATCCACAGTCAATATCATACTGAATGGGCAAAAGCTGGAAGCAGTCCCTTTGAAAACTGGCACAAGACAAGGATGCCCTTTCTCACCACTCTTATTCAACATAGTATTGGAAGTTCTGGCCAGGGCAATCAGACAAGAGAAAGAAATAAAGGGTGTTCAAATAGGAAGAGAGGAAGTCAAATTGTCTCTGTTTGCAGATGACATGATTGTATATTTAGAAAACCCCATCGTCTCAGCCCAAAATTTCCTTAAGCTGATAAGCAACTTCAGCAAAGTCTCAGGATACAAGATCAGTGTGCAAAAATCACAAGCATTACTATACACCAATAATAGACAAACAGAGCAAAATCATGAGTGAAATCCCATTCACAATTGCTAAAAAGAAAATAAAATACCTTGAAATACAACTTACAAGAGACGTGAAGGAACTCTTCAAGGAGAACTACAAGCCACTGCTCAAGAAAATAAAGACAGGACACAAACAAATGGAAAAACATTCCATGCTCATGGATAGAAAGAATCAAATATCCTGAAGATGGCTATACTGCCCAAAGTAATTTATAGATTCAATTCTATCTCCATCAAGCTACCATTGACTTTCTTCACAGAACTAGAAAAAAACTACTTTAAATTTCATATGGTACCAAAATGAGCTTATATAACCAAGACAATCCTAAGGAAAAAGAACAAAATTGGAGGCATCATGCTACCTGACTTCAAACTATATAGTACAAGTCTACAGTAACCAAAAGAGCATGGTACTGGTACCAAAACAGATATATAGACCAATGGAACAGAACAGAGGCCTCAGAAATAACACTACACATCTACAACCATCTGTTCTTTGACAAACGTGACAAAAACAAGCAATGGGGAAAGGACTCCCTATTTAATAAATGGTGCTGGGAAAACTGGCTAGCCATAAGCAGAAAACAGAAATTGGACCCCTTCCTTATACCATATACAAAAATTAACTCAAGATGAATTAAAGACTTAAATGTAAAACCTAAAACCATAAAAACCCTAGAAGAAAACCTAGGCAATACCATTCAGGGTATAGGCATGAGCAAAGACTTCATGCCTAAAACACCAGAAGCAATGGCAAGAAAAGCCAAAATAGACAAATGGGATCTAATTAAACTCAAGAGCTTCTGCACAGAAAAAGAAACTATTGTCAGAGTGAACAGGCAATGTACAGAATAGGAGAAAATTTTTGCAATCTATCCATCTGACAAAGGGCTAATATCCAGAATCTATAAGGAACTTAAATTTACAAGAAAAAAACAACCCCATCAGAAAGTGGGCAAAGGATATGAACAGACACTTCTCAAAAAGTTTGTGCAGCCAACAAACATATGAAAAAAATCTCATCGTTACTGGTCATCAGAGAAATGCAAATCAAAACCACAATGAAATACTATCTCACACCAGTTAGAATGGTGATAATTAAAAAGTCAGGAAACAACAGATGCTAGAGACGATGTGGAGAAATAGGAACACTTTTACACTGTTGGTGGGAGTGTAAATTAGTGCAATCATTGTGGAAGACAGTGTGGCGATTGATTCCTCAAGGATCTAGAACCAGAAATACCAGAAATGACCCAGCAATCCCATTACTGGGTATATACCCAAAGGATTATAAATCATTCTAGTATAAAGACACATGAACACATATGTTTATTGCAGCGCAATTCACAATAGCAAAGACTTTGAACCAACCCAAATGCCCATCAATGATAGACTGGATAAAGAAAATGTGGCACATAAACACCATGGAATACTATGCAGCCATAAAAAGATGAGTTCATGCCTTTTGCAGCGACATGGATGAAGGTGGAAACCGTCATTCTTAGCAAACTAACACAGGAACAGAAAACCAAACACCACAAGTTCTCACTCATAAGTGGGAGATGAACAATGAGAACACGTGGACACAGGGAGGGGAACATTACACACTGAGGCCTGTCAGGGAGTGGGGGGCAAGGGGAGGGAGAGCATTAGGACAAATACCTAATGCGTGAGGGGCTTAAAACCTAGATAACAGGTTGATGGGTGCAGCAAACCACCACGGCACATACATACCTATGTAACAAACCGCACGTTCTGCACACATATCCCTGAACTTAAAGTGTAATAAATAAAAAATAGAAAAATATTAGTAACTTTTAAAATTTAGTATTTAAAATATCTCTGATATTTTGATTTAAAATAGCCTCTCATTATTTCATTTGGTGCAAGTAGTTTTTTCTCCAAAATATCTATAAAAACACAGAACAATACAAAAATTTACAATATTCTAAATTAGAGTAGAAAGTCAACTTAATGTGAACATGTAGAAGAAATTATTCCCAACCATAAGGTCCTTTGTATTAGAGCAGCAGTGCTGCCTGCCCCTCCACCTTGCCCCCCGCCTCCTTAGCAAACACAGGATTTTTGGCAATATTTGGAGACATTGTTTTTTTACAACTGGAATGGAGATATTTACTGGCATCTAGTGAATAGAGGCCAGAGATGCTGCTAAACATCTTAAATGCACAGGAAGCCTCCAACATAAAAAACAATTAGCTGGTTCAAAATGTCAACCGTGCTGGGATTGAGAAACCTTGTATTAGAGCAAAAATGAAAATAACTGGACTATCCTTATAATGCCCATAGTGACTTTGTCATCCTGAAGTGATAGTTTTGTTTCGCTCTCCACTGATGGTTCACTGATTCAGGAATATAAGACTATATGAAGATGAGAGAAAGAAAAATACTCCAAGAATTGCAGTAGTAATCTAGAAGCCAAAGGATTATTATCTTTAGTGTGGTGAGCAAAAATAACTTTCAAGTTAGAATTCATTACATAGTACATATTTCTTTGGACAGGACAAGGGTGACTTAAAGATAGTTTTGAATCAACAAGATTGAGACTTTACAACCAAGGGTATCTCATTAAGAAAAAAATTTAAAGATATATTTAATATAATACATGTTTAATGTTACCAGATGACAGTCTGGATGCAAGGAGAAATAATTTAAAAAAAAGTGAGAAAAGTATTAGTCAGCTTTGACTTTTTAAACTAATAATATTAATTTTAAGGTTAAACTTAATTTATGAGAAGAGTGAATATACATTTAGAATTGTGTTTGATTATTCACAAGGAGGGTAATACACTGATTAATTTTAGATCTTGATAACTAAAATCAGCATTTTCACTGATTACAAAACTACTAAAAAAATAATGGAGGGCATGGCTTCTAGTAAGCTGATGAAGCCATATTAGAGTTTAAAAAGATGTTTAAAATTTTCAAAGCATGTCTGGTAATAAAGAGAGCAAAGAATAATTATTAAAAGATGTATTTACCAGGGAAATATAAGTTTCAATCTCCAATGCAATAAGTAACGTAGCCTTAAAACAATAAAGCAAAAATAATAGCACTACAAAGAAAAATATAAAAGTTCATAATCATTGTGGAGAAATTTAAAAATGCCTATCTCAAAATTAGATAGATAAAGCAAATAAAAGTTTCAAGTAATAGCACAGAAGTTTCAGTCAACAAAACAAGTTAGATCTAAGTAAGTCACATAAAACTTTTCATTCAAAAACTGCAAAGTGTGTATTATTTTTAAACACATACTGTACTAAACTTTGAACATATACTGGGCTATAAAGTAAAACTCAGCAATCATCATGGCAATAATGTTCTCTAACAACAAACAAATTAAGCTGAAACTAAACAACAAAAAACACATAAAACTAAGCAGAAACAAGCCAAGTTAAAAAATTTAGGAAGACATTATAAACTAACAAATAGCTTTAAAAAATCATACTGGTGAAAAATGCTTAGAATGAAATAATAATGAAAACCCTACATTTAAAAACTTGTGATACACAGGTGAAAATTTTTAGAACTTGGTAGAATAAAACATATATAGCATGAATCCTTATAATAGAAAGAAAAACATTAGTTTTCTAAGTAACCATCTTACTAAGTTCAGAACAGGAAAACAGAAGAATTATCATCCAAAATAAATTAGGAGGAAATAAATTATAGATATAAAATAATAAGTAAAAGAAATTAATGATAAGCTAATGTATGGTGAAAAAGATGAAAAAAGCAAATATGGATGCTTGAAAAAAATCTAATAAAATTGACAAACCACTGGCAAGGTTGATCAAGACACGAAGGATGTAGACATAAATAAATGATTTTAGCAAAGAAAAAGAGCACATAACTACGACTGCATTTGTAGTGAGTAAGAGGTCATGTAATGTATACAGTTATGAGTCCAGATCCCCTGATCAGATTGGGTGTGTTTATATCTAAACTCCACAACTTATTAACAGTGACTTCATAGTCAAGTTAGTTGATCTTTCTCTGGTTCATTTACACCACCTATAAAAAAGGGAAAATAACAGAATCTGTATCAATAAATAGTGTTGAGATTAAATAAGTTAATATATGGTAATGGTAGCAGTTAGAATAGCATTAGCACATAGTAAATGGTATGTAAGTATTTTGTTATATATATATTATATGTGCATTGTATCATCAGTAACATTAATTTTTGAATAGCTTTGTGCAAATAAAATTCAAAACTTAAATAAAATGGGCAAATTCCTAGAAAAAAGATTACATAAAAACTTTAAAAGACATAGAAAACCAATTAAATAAATCAAATAACAGTTAAATAATCAAATGAGTTAAAAAGCATCATCCCAAAAAACTTTCCATAAAGATGCTTTCACCAATAAAAGATACTTCTACCAATAAAATATATCAATTATTCAATCAGCAAATTTATCAAATCTTACACAAAATGTTCTACATTGTAGAAAATGTAGAAACACTCCTTAACTCATTTTATGAACATAGTCTAACTTTGGTCCTCAGAACTGATATGGATAGTACAGACAAGGAAAATTAGAGACTACATTCACTTGGAAACAGAAAAAGAAATTTAAAAGAAAATCAACTAATTGAAACTAGCATTATATAAAAATAATAAATCATGATCAAGATGATGTCACTTCAGGGTTTTTAACAATAGAAAATTCTCCTAGCGTAATCTACCATAATGCTAAATGAGACAAAAAGCTTTCCTTGTGGCTCTCAACCACATTGTGGTCTGGATAGACTACAATGTGCATCTGAACTAGGAATCACAAGCCCTGGAACAAGGGTGTGATAGAGTAACAGATTGTGTGCCTACCTATCTAAGATGGGGAGCTAGTAGAGCCCCCTCACTTCCCTCCCACCACAGACACCTCAGTACACTTCACCAGGAGTTCCTCCCAGACACCCTCATCAGGACTGGTGTGTGGACTTGCCATTGGGATATTTGTGGCTAAGCCAGGGGTTCTAGCTCTACCCAGCTATGTCCTCTCCCACAGAAAAGGGAGGTCAGGCTACCAGGCACCCCACTGTCCAACCCTTCACCTGAAACAACAGAGAGCACCTCATAGTAAACAAAGATCAAGTCCACACACACCTGCTTGTGCAGCAGCTGGCTCTTACCTATAAACACCATCTTTTGGCCCATAGGGTGAACCACACAGCTCAATAGAAAACCTGTTGACAGAAATACACAGGACTATAGAAACAAAGCAAAAAAATCCCTGCCCAACACAGCCTTCTCGAGATGAGAAGGAATCAGAAAAGAATTCTGCCGTAATGAAAAATAAATGTTGTGACATCACCAAAGGCTTACTCTGACTCCCAACAAAGATCTGTAGCCAAAATGGAGGCATAGAGATGACAGATGGAGAATTCAATGCATGGATTGCAGGAAAACTCAATAAGATCCAAGATAAGATTGAAAATCAACACAAAGAAATTTGTAAAGCAATCCAGGAAATAAAAGAAGTAAACATCTTTAAAAGATCAATCAGAGCTACTGAAGCTGAAAAGCTCCGTTAAGGAATTTCAAAATACAATTGAAAGCTTTATTAATAGACTAGACCAAGCAGAAGAAAGAATTTCAGAGTTTGAAGATTGTCTTTTGAACTAATCCAGTCAGACAAAAAAACATAATTTTTTAAGAAATGAACAAAGTCTCAGAGAAATATGGGATTATGCAAAGTGACCAAAGCTATGAATTATTGGCATTCCTGAGAGAGAACGAGAAAAAAAATAACCTGGAAAGTGTATTTGAGTAAATAATTCCAGAAAATCTCTAATATTACTAGAGAGGTAGACATCCAGATAAAAGTAATCCAGAGAACACCTGCCAGATACTATACAAAACGAACATCACCAAGGCATATAGTCACCAGACTGTGTAAGGTCAATGGTAAACAATAAATCTGAAAGGCAGCTAGAGAAAAAGGTCAGATCACATACAAAGAGAACCCCATCAGGTTAACAGTGGGCTTATCAGCAGAAATCTACAAGTCAGAAGACACTGGTAGCCTATTTTCAGCATTCTCAAAGAAAAGGAACTCCAACAAAGAATTTCCTACCCTGCCAAACTAAGCTTCACAAGTGAAGGAGAAATAAAATCTTTTTTAGACAAATAATCACTAAGGAAATTTATTACCACTAAACTAGCCTTACAAGAGATCCTTAAGTGAGTTCTAAACATGACGATGGAAGAGCAATATCTGCTACCACAAAACCACAACTAAGTGCATAGCCCACAGATCCTTTAAAGCAACTACCCAATAGGAAGTGCAAAATAACAAGCTTAACAATTATATGATAGAATCAAAGCCTCACATATCAATATTAACCCTGAATGTAAATAGCCTTAATGCCCACTTTAAAGAATTGAGTAGCAAGTTGGATTAAAACACAAAAAATACCATGACCCATCCCTCTATTGTCTTCAAGAAAACCATCTCACATGTAACAATACCTGTAGGCTCAAAGTAAAATATTGGAGAAAAATCTGTCACTCAAATGGAAAACAAAAACGAGCAGAGGTCGCTCTTTTTATGTCAGATAAAGCACACTTTAAATCAAGAATAAAGGGACAAAAAATAGTACTAAATAATGATAAAGGCTTCAACCCAACAAAATGATTTCGCTATACTAAATACATATAGACCTAACAGTGGAGCACCCAGATTCATAAAACAAGTATTCCTAGACCTATGGAAAGACTTAGTCACAAAATAATAGTGGGGGACTGCAAAACCCCCTGTCAGTATTAGACAAATTATCAAGGCAGAAAACTTATAAGCCCTGGACCTAAATTTGACTGCTGATCAACTGGATCTAATAAATATCTCCAGAATACTCCACCCATTAACCACAGAATACACATTCTTCTCATCTGCACATGGAATATACTCTAAGATTGACCACATGCTCAGCCATAAAGCAAGTCTTAATCAATTCAAATTAATCAAAATCATACCAACCATACCTTCAGACCACTGTACAATAAAATTATAAATCAGTACCAAGAAAATTCCTCAAAACCACAAAATACATGGAAATTAAACAACTTGCTCCTGAATGACTTTTGAGTAAACAACAAAATTAAGCAGAAGTTTAAAAAATTCTTTAAAATAAATGAAAACCAAAATCTCTGGGATATAGTTAAAGCAGTGTTAAGAGGAAAGTTTATAGCATTAAATGCCTACATCAAGAAGTTAGAAACTGGGAAACTTACTGGAATGCAAACAAACAAACAAAAAAACACCTCAGAACGATCTCAAATTAACTATCTAATACCACACCTAGAGGAACTAGAAAAACAAGAACAAACTAACCCCAAAACAGGCAGAAAGAAAGAAACAACCAAAATTAGAGTAGAACTGAATGAAATTGAGACCCCCCAAATCCATAAAATGATCATCAAAAACAAAAACTGGTTATTTAAAAAAATCAATAGACTGATAACTGCCATCTAGATTAACAACAACAAAAAAGAACAAAATAAGCACGATCAGAAAGGACAAAGTTAACATTACAACTGATCCCACAGAAATATAAAGATCCTCAGAGCCCATTAGGTGAACATGTCTATGCACACAAACTAGAAAATCTATAGGAAATGGAAAAATTCTTGGAAACCCACAACTTCCCAAGAGTAAGCAGGAAGAAATCAAAACCCTGAGCAGACCAATATCAGGATCTGAAATTGAATCAGTAAAAAAACTACCGGCAGGAAAGAATCCTGGATCAGTTGTATTCACAGCCAAATTGCACCAGACAAAGAAGAGCTTGTATCAATCCTACTGAAACTATTTTTAAAAATAGAGAAGGGACTCCTCCCTAACCTGTTCTATGAAGCCAGCATCACTCTGATACCAAAATCTGGCAAAGACTCAACAAAAAAAGAGAACTACTGGTCAATGTCTCTGCTCAACATAGATGCAAAAATCCTCAACCAAATATAAGCAAACCAAATCCAGCAGTACATCAAAAAGTTAATTCACCGTAATCAATTAAGCTCCTGGGATTCAAGGCTGGTTCATCATACACAAATCAATAAACGTGTTTCACCAAATAAACAGAATTAGAAGCCAAAATCATATTATCATTTCAATAGATGCAGAAAAACTTTTTATAACATCGACATCCCTTCATAATAAAAACCCTCATCAAACTAGGCATCGAAGGAACATAAAACAATATGAATCATCTAGGATAAACTCACAGCCAACGTTATATAGAATAGGCAAAAACTGGAAGCATTCTCCTTAAGAACTAGAATAAGATAAGGATGCCCACTTCCACCACTCCTATTCAACATAGTAATAGAAGCCCTATCCAAAGCAACCAGGCAAGAGAAAAAAATATAAAGCATTCAAATAGGAAAAGAAGTCAAATTATTTTTATGTTGATGATATGACACTATACCTAGAAATCCCTAAAGACTCCATGGAAAGGCTTCTAGAGCTGATAAACGACTTCAAAAAAGTTTCAGTATACAAAATCAGTGTTCAAAATTAGTAGCATTTCTATACATCAATAACATTCAAGCTGAGAACCAAATCAAAACACAATCCTATTTTCAGTAGCCACAATAGAAATAAAATATTTTGGAATACATCTAACCAAGAACGTGAAGGGTCTCTACAAGGAGAGCTGTAAGACTCTGGTGAAATAAATGATAGATCATACAAACAAATAGAAAAACATCCCATGCTCAAGGATCAGAATAATCAATATCATTAAAATGGCCATAATGCCCAAAGCAATCTACAATTCAACACTATTCCTATGAAACCAACAATGTTATTTTTCACAGAATTAGGAAAAAACTATTCTAAAATTCACATGGAAGCAAAAAAGATAACAAATAGCCAAAGCAATTCTAAGCAAAAAGAACAAAGCTGGGGGCACTACGCTAACTGACTTCAAACTAAACTATAAGGTTACTGTGATGGTTAATATTAGGTGTCAACCTGATTGGATTGAAGGATGCATAGATGGCTGGTAAAGTATTGTTTCTAGTGTGTCTGTAAGAATGTTGCTAGAGGAGATTGACATTTGGGTTGGCAGACTGGGAAGGGATGACTCACCCTCAATGTATATGGGCACCATGCAATCTGCTGCCAGCACGGGTAGAACAGAGCAGGTGGAGAAGGTGGGATAACCTTGCTAGCTGAATTTTCTGGTTTCCTTCTTTTTCCTGTGCTGGATGCTTCCTTCCACTCCTCCTGCCCTTAAACATCAGACTTCTGGTTCTTCAGCCTTTGGACTCAGACTTGCCAGAGTCTTACCTGGGCCTTTTGGGCCTTCTGTCACAGACTGAAGGCTGCACCCTCAACTTCCTTGGTTTTGAGGCTTTCAGATTCCAACTGAGCCACTACGGGCTTCTCTCTTCCCCAGCTTGCAGGCAGCCTATTGTGGAACTTCACCTAGTAATCATGTGAGCCAATTCTCTCTAATAAACTCCCTTTCATATATACATGTATTCTATTACTTCCATCCCTCTGGAGAACCTTAATACAGTTACTGTAACCAAAACAGCATGGTACTGGTACGAAAACAGACACATAGAACAAAGGAACAAGATGGAAAACCCAGAAATAAAGCCACACAACTATAACCATCTGATCTTTGACAAGGGTGACAAAAACAAGCAATGGGAAAAGGACTCCCTATTCAATAATTGGTGCTGAGAAAACAGGCTACTCATATGGGGAAGAATCAAGCTGTATCCTTACATTTTACTATAGACAAAAATTAACTCAAGATGGATTAAAAATTTAACTATAAAATCTCAAACTATAAACATTTTAGAAAAAAACCCTAGAAAATACCCTTCTTGACATTGGCCTTGACAAAGAATTTTTGGCTAAGTCATCAAAAGCAATTGCAGCAAAAACAAAAATTGACAGCTGGAAACTAATTAAAGAGCTTCTGCACATCAAAAGAAACTATCCACAGAGTAAATACACAACCTACAGAATGAGAGAAAATATTTGAAACTATGCATTTGACCAAGGTCTAGTATTCAGAATTTATAAGGAATTTAAACAATTAAACAGAAAAATAAATCAACTCATTAAAATTGGGCAAAAGACATGAACAGACACTTCTCAAAGGAGGCATATATGCAGCCAACAAATATATTTAAAAAATGCTCAACATCACTAGTCATTAGAGAAATGCAAATCAAAACTACAAGGAGATAATATCTCACAACAGTCGGAATGGCTATTATTCAAATGACAATAAATAACCAATATTGTCAAGGTTGTGGAGAAAAGGGGATGCTTATATACTGTTGGCGGGAATGTAAATTAGTTCAGCCATTGTGGAAAGCAGTTTGGGTATTTCTCAAATAACTTAAAACCAGAGCTACCATTTGACCCAGCAACGCTATTACTGGGTATGCCCGCCCCCTGCCACAAAATAAATTGTTCCACCAAAAAGACACATGCACTCACACTTATGTGTTTATATCAGCACTATTCACAATAGCAAAGACATGGAATCAACCTCGATGTCCATCAACAATGGACTGGATAAAGAAAATGTGGTACATATACACCATGGAATACTATGGAGCCATAAAAAAGAATGAAGTAATGTCCTTTGCAGCAAATGGATGCGGCTGGAGGCCAATATCCTAAGCAAATTAACACAGGGAAAGGAAACCAAATACCACATGTTCTCGCTTATAAGTGGGAGCTAAACATGGACTACACATGGACATAAACATGGGAATAATAGACACTGGACACTGGGGGTTACCCAGGGGAAGGGAGGAAAGGGGCAAAAGTTGAAAAACTACCTATTGGGTACTATGCTCACTACCAAAGTGATAGGGTCATTTGTGCACCAAACCTCAGTGCACCAAACATCAGTTACACACAATTTGCCCATGTAACAAACCTGCCCATGTACCCCCTGAATCCTGAACCTTCCTCTGAGAAGGGGGGAAGCCACTTCTCTTCATTGAAACACACAAACCGCAACTTTATGTGGTGGCAGGAGGCAGGGAAAAAGGGAAGGAAGCCACAAATCGAAATTTGGGAGAAGATATTTGCAACATCCAATTCCAATAAGGTTTAATATCCTAAAAATTTAACAAATACTATGAATCAAGAAGAACAACAAAAAGAAGCAAGCAGGAAAATAGGCAAAATAAATGATTGCGGGTTTTACAGAAAAGGAAATAAAAGTGGCTCATGAAGAGTTGAGAAAGTGCTCAACTTCATTTGTAATCAAGGCACAGTGAGGATAAATCAAAGGGTTGATTTTTTTTTTAATTCACAAATTCTGCCATAGAAGAAATTATCTCAGACAAGGGGTGAACTTAGGACTGGAAATCCTAGAGCATTTCAGTAGATATGAGGAATTTTGAAGAAATGGAAGAAAACAATCCTGAGTCATTGAATAGAAGAGGGAATAAAATTTCCTATGACCATTAGACCCTCCATAAGAGTATCAGTCACTCTTCATTACTGTATAAACTGATTACAAATGTAAGTTGAAAATTGCAAGTTGGGCAGTTGCAGCTGTTTTTCCTATAATTCTTTATAGTTGCAGTCTTTTAAAAAAGACAGTATTTCTTCATTTTCTCTAAATATTGATCATCTTTTAGCTGACCAATTTTAGTTTACTCAATAACCTCGATGAAAATATTCCTGACAGTGAATTTCACAGGCTTAGCCAGTCTCCCTTAGCTGATTCACTATACGTCTGTCTGCTTCTTAAGACTTCGTAGTGATTTCACATGCTTCTCAAGGCCATAACTTAGATTTCTGCTCAAAGACCTCATACACAAAATAATTTCTCTTTTATTGACTACTTTTTAAAATTCATTTAGTTAACTTATGTTTATTGATACCCTAATATATACTATAGGTTAAAGGAAATAAAGACAAATAATACTTGCTTCAGCTCCATGATGTAGCTTATAATAGAGCTGGGAAGAGAGTTACACCAGGGATTATGGGAAAGTGTGTTGAGTGAAAGGGTAAAGCTACCTCAGGGATTTTGTATACATACATAGCATTTTTATAAGTGCTTTCAATTTTGTAAATTTTTTTTGGATTCTTAGCAAAAGTTTTTTGCTTCCATTTTGTTTTTTTGTTTGTGTTTCAGATGGCTGACATTATTAGATAAGTGAGTTCTGCTGAAATTAGTCTTATTGATCATATGAAACTGATCCTTAAATTTGGATCTTTTCTCAAATTATAAATGGCTCATTAACTTGGGAAATTTTTTCACTCTGACTCCTTGATTTTCATAACTTTGTGAATTCCTCATTAAAATACAATTTCACTCCCAAGAATGTTTTATATTGGGAATTTTTTCTTTTGTTCCATGAATTTGCTTTTGCAGGAGATTTCAGGTATTTAAAAGGTAGTAAGTTTTTATTAAATAGCACATTATCTTCCAATAAAAAACAATCTGAAACTCTAGAACTACTTTTGCCAATAAATAAGAAAATTTTGGGCTTGCTAAGGTCGCAGGTCAAATTTCTTGATTTTATTTTTAAGAAAGAATCTAACTTGGCTCCATATAGGTTAATTTGCTGGCCAAAGCAGTGTTTTTCCTGAGATAATGTCAACCAGAGAGATTTCGTGAATATCAGAACTGACATTTTATCAGATTAAAGTAAGCTCACTCAACCACTTAAATTTTAAAAATTTAAACACTTTAAACATGTAAGTTGACACAAGGGATTAAATTATAATTAATAAAATTTATATCAATGTTTTATAAAATAAATTTAAATTAAAAAATGTCCTCAATCTAAAATTTTAGTTTAAGTGAAGATGCACATCAAAAGGGAATATTTCATATCTTCATTATCTTTAACATACATAATTGTAGTTTTGACTCTTGCATTAATCTGTTTCCTTGTCCGATAATAAAATTTGTGAATGTGGTTCCAAAATCAAGTAGGAAAATTTGAAAAAAAATACTACACAACTTTTTGTTTGGATTTTAACATAATATCTGTGTCTAGTGATCACATGAAGACCAACCAATTTAGGTTTTCAAGAACATAACTTTAAGAACTGAAAATCAATTACATAGCCAAGCTGTAGAAATTCTTATATAGCAATGTAGTTTTTAAAGCTTAACTGTAAAAGTGCAATGATGTGTAGACAGAGACTTATAGAAGATTACTGCTATCAGCTTCTGAAATGTGTATAACAAAATGTGATGCTGCGTTGAGGATCAATGTCTGTCCATTTTGCATATGAGTCCTGCTGGAAAGAAAGCAACTGTCAGACTAGTGGAGAGATCACAGTTGGTGAGCAACGGTTCCATCACAAATATGTTCTTTGCTTTGAATTGGTGCAAAGATAAAAAACATATACATTTTTATCCATGATAAAACAAGTCTACCATTGAATAGAAGTCTATCAAGAGCAAAAAACCCCATGAAAATAACTAATGTTAAGGTTACTAGTATTGATCTTTAGATAAACTAAATTTAGTAGTATCAATGTGAAAGGAGAAAAATATTTCAAGCATTTTACAAACACTGTGCATCAGTAAATGATTGTTTTGTGTGTGGAAAGGGACCAAAATTAGACTCCTAAAATATTTCCTTAGGATCTTAGTGATTATATTTTCTCCAGCATCAGACTGCTCATCAGACTGCATGCAGTGACACAGGTGGTAGTTATTGGAATGATTCAAATCACTTTTCAATTTGAAAGCACATTATGGTTCCTGTTAGAGACATGGATAGTTGGGAATACTTTGGATTAATGTCTAATTTACTCTATTTGCCTTTCTCCTTATAACTGGACAACTACTTGTAGTCTCATAATTTTTGAATCATCATCCATGAGTCTTAGGTCTTTAGAATGAGCTTCCTGAGTCCTTGTTATTAGTTAGCAAAGTTAAAGAACAAGGTGCATTGGTCAAATCTCCATATGCAAACCAAATGAAATGTGGAAATTAAATGATCTAATGTAACAAAGGAACAAGATGAAATTATTTCTGTCAGTATCCTTTGTTTGTCTATTCTTAACCACCATCCTAGAGAAGTGTAAATTAAAAGTCGAAATGATTTATTTCAGAAACTAAATAAATAGAGCACACTGCTGCTTTTTCATTTCACTGTGTACCTTCACTTCTGGTATTTTTTTCCTCCCTCTGAAAGTGCTATTTCAACAAGACCATGTAAATGTCTATAATTGCGAGAGAAAATGTTAATATAACATTTACACAGTTCAACAGCTTCAGAGCTATTTCATTGACTATGCTTAAAAGGAAACTTACACACAGAGGTCCCAAGCCCACATAAATGCTAGTTTAGTGGGACATTTGGTGACAGAGCCTTAAAAACAGAAACAAAAAGGAAAGGAAATCAAACAGCCCCATCTTCCAGCCTAATTCAAGCCATTTAGAAGCTCTGTGCTTAAGCCAAGGATTACTAGTGATACTATCTACATCAGCTTTGCTGTTCAGGAAGGGACGCCTCTCCTAATAAAGAAAAAAAGAGAGAGAAAAAGGAAAAAAAATAGTTTAAAGCCAAGTAATTCGGGCTTGCGTAAATCTTTAATGGGTTCTGCCTTCATGTGATTGGCTATGTGTTCTTTCCTCTGCCCAGGGGAAACACTATATGTCTTAGAGGAGAATAATAGTAACTCCATCTTGTGTGTTATATGATATCTTCAAGTAATCCCCAGGATTTGGGCTTTGTCTGTGGTAAACAAAAGGCCACCCATACATAATGTGTCTGGGCTATTCCAGACTCTTCACCTTAACAGGTGACACCCGCAAGATGGACGTGGGCAACTAAGCCCATTTGTAGCTGGAGGCAGTTTTGCTCCCAAGACAACTCAGAAAATGTAAAAACAAAAAGCATATTTCTGTTCTCATAAGAACGAAGTGTAACCAGCACCATGCAGTTGTGTCAGTTTTCTGAGCTTTTCTCAGGAGTAATAATGAAATGCCAAAACACCAAATAATATATTTTGCTTTGTGAGTTAATGCTGTAGATTCATTTGTTGAAAATATATGGATGATTCCAAGCTCTCTAGGTCAAATCACAAAACGAAAGTAGAGGAATAAAAGAATCTATCATTTACATGTTAATGACTTCACACAAGATGAATAAAAATTATGTAGAAAATTCTGTCTCATAACTCTCTCCTTTCACCTGGGAGATGGAAGGAAGCTGTGCTTACTGAACTGGGTTCTGAGCAGTTAAGCTTCCTAACTGTTGGATTTATTCACTCAACAAATGTACATCTATTATCTGGTAGGGACTTTCTTCAACTCTGAAAACACGAGAACACGAGAAAGCTTTGTCTTTCAATGCACTGCAGGCTAACTTTGTAAAATTTTAAATCTGAAAGAGAGTCAGACTTGCATCTGCTCTATTTCTTTCTTTTTTTAAAATTTTTACTTTTATGGTTTTTTTTTTTTTTTTTTTTTTTTGAGACGGAGTCTCACTCTGTCGCTCGGGATGCGCGATCTCGGCTCACTGTAAGCTCCGCCTCTCAGGTTGAAGCCATTCTCCTGCCTCAGCCTCCCAGCAGCTGGGACTACAGGCGCCCGCCACCACGCCCGGCTAATTGTTTTTGTATTTTTTAGTAAAGACAGGGTTTCACCGTGTTAGCCAGGATGGTCTCGATTTCCTGACCTCGTGATCCGCCTGCCTCGGCCTCCCAAAGTGCTGGGATTACAGGCGTGAGCCACCACGCCCAGCCCATCTGCTCTGGTATAGCAATTCTGGCTATATCAAAGTAAGGCATGCTCTTTATATTGCAATGCAATCAGTAAGCATAGACTTGCAATATAAAGAGCATGCCTTTATGTCATTACTCACTAATATGGTACCAACAAACGGAGATAAATTTCTAAGTTGATTGACTAAAATGAACTTTAAAAAGCTAAGTCTTATAAGAAAGAGTGACTTGAATTTAAGACAAAAAATAAAATGCAGTTTCTGTTCTTCTTCCATAAAAATCACAAATTGTCTTTAAGACACATTTAATTGGCCGGGCACGGTGGCTCAAGCCTGTAATCCCAGCACTTTGGAGGCCGAGGCGGGAGGATCACGAGGTCAGGAGATCGAGACCAGCCTGGCCAATATGGTGAAGCCCTGTCTCTACTAAAAATACAAAAAGTAGCCGGGCATGGTGGTGCGTGCCTGTAGTCCCAGCTATTTGGGAAGCTGAGGCAGGAGAATCGCTTGAGCCCAGGAGGCGGAGGTTGCAGTGAGCCGAGATCGTGCCACTGCACATCAGCCTGGGCAACAGAGTGAGACTCTGTCTCTTAAAAAAAAAAAAAAAAAAAAGACACATTTAATTTTATGCATGAGCACATGTTTATTTTTATTTCAAATTTCCAGAAAAAGTTTGTGTGTAAGGTAAAAAAAAAAAAAAGAGTATGCTTTCCCAAATACTAATTTTGAGCAAAAAGGTAAATTACAATTCTGAGTTAATGAATTGCTATATTTAATAAAAGGCAAGATGCTCATCAATAAACACATATAATCTAGTGTCACAAGTTTGCTTCAATCTGTAATATATAGTGGCAAGTATAGTAAATGAAAAAGCAAGAGTGGTTGGTGAAATAAAAAATTCATAGATACGCTATAGTATTATTTAACATAAGTTTAACACATCCATTTCACAACATATTTCCAAACAGAGTTGATATATTTGTAGGATGCTTTCTTAGTTAACAGAATTTTATTTAAAATTTATTCTTAGCCTACACATCATGAACTAACAAAAGGGAAAACCAATTAATTATTCAACAGATCAGGTTGTTGCCTAATTTTGCTCAATGTATTATCTATGAATTTCTTGAAAACAAATTTTTAAAATCTAAAAATGGGAAGGAAACATCAAAATGGCCTATTTGTATTACACTTCCATGGCTAACATGATAATGTATTTTACATGACTCATAATTAGATGTGAACATGTATAGAAACCTTCTTTTGTTAATCATTCTGTGAATGAAATGCACCAAATTTGATCATAAAACTCACTATTTCATGAGATATTGAAACAATTAGGAATTCAGTATATACCCTAGATCTTAACTTTTAAAATTGATCATTAACTTCTTAAAAACAATGTGATAAGTATTATCTGATTAACTGAGCTTATTAATGTCTTAATCCATCAAAATTTTATATTCTGGCCAGTCGTGGTGGCTCACACCTGGCGACAGAACAAACTCTATCTCAAAAAAAAAAAAAATTCTAAGTTATCATGTTTGCTTAATTAAGATGAACTGGCCTTAACATTCACTGTGTACAATTTCAGCATAAGAAGAAAGAATTTGCCATATGTAGTCACTTCAACAGTGAATGTGCCAGTCTTCTGAGTAAGAAACATGTCTCTTAAAGATGTATTTTTGGAGGCACAAGGCATGGCCTTATGCCTCTCTTAAAGTTTCATCACAAACAATATTTCCCCAGACAATGCTGTGCCTTCCTTGTCCATACCATTCCATAAACCATCTCTGAATTCACTTGTATTTTTTTGCCTATGTTGCTTTCTGAAACTCTTAGTTTTATACAGTTCACAAATATGTAGTCTTCCTTTTATGTGTCTTAATTTTATGTCACTCAACTTACAAAGGGCGCTCTCTTATCCAAGTTCAGTTTATAAATATATTTTAAGCATTATTTTTATGGCTTTTATCATAAAAAACGAGATGATATTGAAACCTGAACACTTACTTGCTCTACATACACATTATATAAAATATATAAAATTGAATTAATATGATATTAAAGAAGGAAAATTTGATCAGTTAAGAAATTGTTTTCACTTTGTAAAGTAGATCTAGTGGATGCTAAACAGAAAGTAGAGATGTAATTCTATTTTGTAAATATGATAATGCTTTATTGTTAGTTACTTCAATTAAAAAGTTAATATATAAATAGTAAAATCAAATGGAACCAGTATTATTATCTTTGATATTAGTACAAAATTTGGAATATAATTCACATCTTTTTCTTCATACTCCTGTATATCATTCTTTCACTGAGACGCATTAAAAGAATAATGTCTACTACTCCTTAAGAACCTCATATTTTCCAGACAGTTTCTCAGACACTTTGATTAAAATAAATATTATGTATTCAACACTTACTACTTTTAATGAATATTAACAAGAGTAACTTTAACTGCCATAACAAATGAAACTCCAAATGTCAAGGGCATGGCATAGTAAGAATTTTTTTTTCTCACATAGAATTTCAATATAGATAGGTCTGGTTAGTGGGTGGCTTTCTTACCTGTGATAATGATCTCAAACTCCTAACGACATGGCTCCATGATTCTCCAGGCTAGGATCTCTTAGGGCTTTTCCTCTAGCTGGGGAGAAAGAGACAGAGGACATGAGAAAGGTTATTAGTCTTAAAAGCCCACATCACTTTGCACTTTCTCTGTTGCAAGATCTAGTGCTGGGATCTCACTGGATGTGAATCTCTAAATTATAGTCTCTCTCTGAATAGCTGCTTCCAAAAGACAATTTCACAATATGAATATTTGAGCCAGACAGCTATCTGTCTCTGACACATAAGATACAGTACTGGGAACCCTGTATTCATTATATATTGTATGCTCTCACAAATGATTTCATGATATTATTCACTGTTTTACAAATGAGAAAACAGGCTCAGGAATTTATTTGCACAAGTAATATTTGAACCGAGGTCAGTCTAATGTAGAAAAATTAAGCTCTTAATAATTACGATATACAATATTAAATAATAATGGATATAATTCCCAATAATAACAGTAATAACTAATATTAATTGAATCTGAACTCATATTGTGTATTTGACAGTATTCTAAGTGCTTTTCATGTATTAGCTTATGTTATCCTCATTATAAATTTTTATGACTTTGCAGATAGAAATGAGACACCTGTTGCAAGTACAATGGAAATTCAAGTATGAGACTTTTATCTTCCTTTGGTACTGAAGCATGCTTAGCATACTTGGTGTTAGTTCAACACATATTCCTTAGCATCTTCACAGACACATCATCTTTCCCATAGAGGCAGAAATCTTTATCCACAGCTTGAGAACTAGTTTGAGAGCTAGAGAAGACCTCAAAGGTAATTTGTTATGAATATTCATCAAGTATAGTTTCCCTATAATATTTTCTGGGTAAATATTTCCAATAACAGAACCATAGAACCATAGAAATTAGATCAGTCCAAGTGTAGTTTACACATTCTTTCACAATACTGTTCTTACATGGTGAGATCATCTGCTTTTACTCCCATATTTTATTTGTGAAAGTGGAGGCCATTAGGGTTTAGGAGACCAGTTTGCCAAAGATCACATAGCTAGTCTCTCTGTAACTTCAATCCATTGATTCTGGCTCTGCTGTTGGAATTACTCAAAGTAAGTTCAATTCCAATTTCTTGCCTACAGATTTTC
Source organism: Homo sapiens (assembly GCF_000001405.40). NCBI lineage: Eukaryota > Metazoa > Chordata > Mammalia > Primates > Hominidae > Homo > Homo sapiens. Next base: position 111,515,131 of record NC_000004.12, on the reverse strand, counting down.
ATATATTTGAAAACAACTGTCTTGTTTTCCTTTATTCTTCTTTTCTCCAACATAGGCAGTTGAATGTTTTTCAATTATTTTGAATATTCAGGCATTGATGACTTTTAAAGTCTCTTGTTTCTCACAGTTCTGGAAGCTGTAAAGTCCAAAATCAAGTCACCAAAGATTCAGTGTCTCTGGTAAGGGCTTGGTCTTCTCTTCCAAAATTGCACCTTGAACACTGCAACCTCTAAAGGAGAAGAATGCTGCTCATCACATGGCAGAAGAGTAGAAGATTAAAGAAAGTGAGAGAGAAAGAACACCAAAAAGGGGAGCCATACTTACTTTTTTTTTTTTTTTTTTTTCTGAGACAGAGTCTTGCTCTGTCACCCAGGCTGGAATGCAGTGGTGCGATTTCAGCTCACTGCAACTTCTGCCTCATGGGTTCAAGCAATTTTCCTGCCTCAGCCTCCTAAATAGTTGGGATTACAGGCGCCTGCCACCATACCTGGTTAATTTTTTTTTTTTTTTTTTTTTTTTTTTAGTAGAGACAGGTTTCACCATGTTGACCAGCATGGTTTTGAATTCCTGACCTCAAGTGATCCACCCAGAACCCACTCATGCAATTAAGGCATTAATCCATTCATAAGGACAGAGCCCTCACAGCCCCATTACCTCTCAAAGGTTTTACCTCCTAATACTGTCGCAATGGTAATCAAATTCCAACATGAGTTTTGAAGGCAACATTTAAAACATAGCACACGTGATCCAGCAATTTTACTTCTAGGTATATACACAAAATAATTGAAAGCAGAGACTTGAAGAGTTATTTGTACACCCATGTTCATAGCGGCACTATTCACAAAACCAAAAAGATGGAAAAGACTCAAGTGTCCATCGACAGATAAATGGATAAAGAAAATTTAGTATACACATACAATGGAAGAAAATTCTAACATGTGCTACAACATAGATAAACCTTGAGGACTTTATGTTAAGTGAAATAAGCCAGTCACAAAATGAAAAATACTGCATGATTCTACTTATATGAAGTGCCTATATTTGTCAGATTTATGGAGACAGAAAGTAGAAAGACGGCTTCCAGGGCCGGCAGGGAGGAGGAATAGAAAGTTATTGTTACATGGGCATAAAGTTTAAGTTTGAGAAGATAAAAAAGTTATGGAGATGGATGGTTGTGATTGTAGAATAATATGAATGTACTTAATGCCACTGAGCTATATACTTAAAAATAGTTAGGATGGTAAATATTATGTTATATGTATGTTATCACTATTTAAAAAAAGACCAAAGTTACCAACATAGCCTGCAAGCTCATAATAATTTGGTACCAACCGTGCATTTCTCCATCTCCCTTACAAATCTCCATCTATACTAGCTCTTTGCTGAATGTACCAGATGGTTTCACGTTTCTATGCTGTTGTTTAAGTAGTTTCTTTTCCTTAGATTTCTTATACATTTTCTCCAACTTTCCATATTTGTCTCATTCTTCAAAATCCACCTTTCCGCATTAATTTTTTTTCAAGGCCTATATCTCATAAATAATATCTCTTTTTGTGCTTCTTTAGCAATTTATTTTACTTTCATAATAAAATTCCTGATAATCTTACTAGAATTATTTGGGTATACTCTATTATATTTTTAGCATGATATTATCCTAGCTCTTAGTGTAATAGGCACTCAAAATTCCATAGAACAAAATGGAATAGAACAGAAGAGAATGGAATGAATATAAAAATATGTAATTTTAAATAAGCCAAGGATTTAAAAATTCCCTTTGGAAATGTAGAATTTTAATATTTATCACTCAAAGAAAATAGATAATGTATTATTCACACCCAGAACTAAAATGTAGGTTTTAAACTTTTTTTTTAAATTCATCAATATATTGGAGACCTTTGAGTTTATAATTAAAATTATGACATTTCACTGTACAGTTGCATCTTCATCTGTTAAATAAAATCCTCATTGATGAGAATTTTATATTGATTGTAACTGTTGATACAATAGAACTATAAAGAACATCTTTGCATATTTGTCTTTGTAAGAATTTTTAGGATAAAATTTTGAAATTAAAATTGCTAGATTAAGGAAAATAAATATATCAAAGATTTTGTTAAATATTTAAAAATACTTAATTTTGGGCGGGAGCCCTTGAAACTGGGTTGCTAGTGTATTTCTTCTTCATATCAAAGTTGTCTGTATAATTACAACTAATTGGATAATATGTACACAGTTCCTTATTACAATTGACACTATGACTGTGCTCTCAAGACTTTAAAAATACTATTTTTCTCCAGAAAAGAGACCATGTTTATTACCTGTTTTATCACCAATGCCTAGTAATTTGTCAAAAATAGAGTGAACTCTCAATAAATTCAAATAAAACTATTTGCAAATTCAAAACATCCTTGAGATTTGTTTGGAATAGTTTTAAATCACACAAAGACAACCTAACAAAGTGCTGAAGCGCATGAATTCTAAGGATGGGTCAGATTCTGGAGCCAGATTGCTCTGCCTATGCCCCATCCTAATCACAGCCTTATCTCCAAAACTGTCTTATACTAACCCAATTTTTATGGTATTTCACTGTGTCTAGGTATACACAGATATGTTTTACCCATTTTTAACTTGCTACTGTTGTTTAAAGTATTTTTAAATCCATGAATATTTTCTCCATTTTGTTTTTCCCTTTACAATCTATCTGTTAAAGAGCCCAGATGATTTGATGTATGGAGTTTCCAAAAGTCTAGATTTTGCTGATTGCCGACTCATGCTGTACTACTGAATGTATTACAGAATGCTGACTCATTCTGTGCTACTTTTTCTCTGTCTTTTGCATTTCCTGAAAAATGCAAGCTGGATCCAGACGCATAATCTGACTCATGTTAGATTCTTTTGGTGAGAAATATCGGCGGTGGTATGTTCTTCCATAAGGAGGAATATAATGTCTGTTTTTTTACTTTTTTGAAGTTAATATTTATTGATGCTCAATGCCTAGTCCATTAATTTATTAGGGTCTACAAAATGGTTATTTTCTAATTCAATCATTTTGCTTCCATGTATTAGCCAGAATACTTTTACAAGGAGATGTGTTCCTCATCTACTCTTTGGTTAAACAGTGATAAAATTCATATACGGAAAATAAATGTAGGATAAATGTTTGATGTTTTCTTTGGTTTGGTTTTACTCTATTTTAAAGATAATTATGGCTAGGCATGGTGCCTCATGCCTGTAATCCCGACACTTCCTGACAGGCCAAGACAGAAGGATTGCTTGAGCCCAAGTGTTCAAGACCAGCCTGGACAAAATAATGAAACTCTGTCTCCACAAAAAATAAAAAATTAGCTGGTGTAGTAGTGCAGGCCTTAGTCTCAGCTACTCAGGAGCTTGAGATGGGAGAATCGCTTGAGCCTGGGAGGTTGAGACTGCTGCAATAAGCCATGATAGTGCCACTGCACTCCAGCCTGGGTGACAGAAGGACACCTGGTCTTTAAAAAAAAAAATCAATCAATAAAGAGAATTGCTTCCCTGTCATCCTCAGAAGATGACAAGTTCATTTTTACTTTAATAATATTTTAAATGTAATGTTTACTAATGTATTTTAATACTAATTGGTTTTTAGTAATATTTTAAGAATAAATTAGTTATTATTTAATAATCATAATTTTTAATGGATTTTACTCCATTGCAATTTTTTATCCATATTAAAGCTCAAACAATTCTATTTTTGGCCAGCGACAGCATCTTTAGGTTGGCTCTTGACTCCTTTTGACACAAACTTATTGGACTTTGATACTTGCCTTGCTATCTGATATGCCAAAATATGGAACTCTCATCTTGCATATTTCATATTCTAGATCTGCAATCAACCATTACTCCAAAAAGCCTTGGTTTATTTCAATGAGTCATGATGCTTAGACACATTATGGATACTAGAAATGCTCATTGCTACTGGATTGTTGTATTATTTCTAGGCCTTTCTGGTGGACAGAAGTGTATATATACATATTTATTTGTAGTAGTATGTTTAAAGACTAAATACTTATATTCCAGTTCAAATTCAAGCCTATAGGGATTTTATTTAAAATGTTTTTTTTTACATCCTCATTTCCTTTTGTCCACATCAAGAACCCTGGGATTATTATATGGTTAATCCTAAAATTATTTATTTGATTTATCCCACATTACTATTCAGAATACAATTTCAGAATAATATTCATACCAGCATTACCAAATTAAAATTTTTTATGTGCTAGTTCCTTCTCCATTCTTTTTGTTTGGATTCAATCTGCCTTTTCAGATTATTTATCCCTTACATTCCATAATTCCTGCCTTTTAACCTCATTTATGTTAGTTCTATGAGTAACTACATAGCTAATCACAGGTAGTCATCACTGAGACTTGGGTCTATGTCTCTCTGGACATTTTGGTTGTCTGAAGCACACTTTTAAATAGATTCCTTAAGAAGTACACATGAGAATAGTAGTCTTTGATTCTTGTATATTGTACTGAAGGTCACTTTTGAAGGATGTAAAATACTTGACTCATTATTTTTCCTTCTGCATCTTAAATATGTTTTCCCAATCTTCTAGCAACCTGCTGAAAAATAAGTTATCTAATTTTCTTTCTCATATAGGTCTCATGTTCTTTTTGTATTCATGACAAATGATTTTTTTCTTTATGATGTCCTGTCATTTTAGTAGAATATGACTTGCCTTTGGCCATTTTGAGTCTATATTCTCAGAAAAATAAATGTGTGCTTTTTCAATATAGGCAGGGTCTCAGCTAAAAAGAAATTAGTACATTTTTCTTTAATAATAAATTTTAATATATTTTCTGTTCTTTTGCTTTAGTTGTTGTTGATGTTGTTTTCAGGGTCTCTGATGATTCTTACGTTGGATTTTCATTGCCCATCTTCAATGTATGTCACTAGCTCATAAATTCTTTTACTCTTTTTATTTTTAAAATTAAAAATGTTATTCTTCACTGTATATTTCTCCTAAGGCATTATTTGCTTTGTTTATATGTAGCTGTGTTTCTTCTTGTTTATTCTTCATTTTCAAAGAACTTGTCTTCTCATTTTATTTGAGTTTTATCAATTATTCTTGATAAAACATCTAATTTGATTTGAGCTTCATCAGATCATACCTGAATTATTGTAATTATGTTTTATGTTTCATTTTCATGTCTTTTACTATTTTCTTAATGTCTACAGCACACTAAAGAGGGATAGAAATTCCTTGCTATGCCTCCTGTTGATTATAAGACTGATGGTAGGGTTTATGTTTTCTCTTTTTTATTCTAGGCTGGTCAGTACCTGCTTTGATGAGCAGATTATACCTAAGGTGATACCACTATGAGTTAAAAAAATAAGATAGGATATTTTTCTTCAAGCAATCCACAGATGGAAAAGTGAAATTAACATTAATGTAATTAACAATAATATGGTAGGGAGTGACTGCAGTTTTAACTTTGTTCATTGTTTATAAAACATCTCCCTCAAATACAGGACAACTACATGACCTTCACAAAGCATAGAAAAAGAATTAAAATTTCACATTTAGGCTAATCTAAATTTATTTAATAAATGCATGAGCTTTGGAAAAAAACATCAAAGCATATAAATACCCTATGTCTGTATTTTTATCTGTAAAACACAAGTTCTCACTTTTGAAGAGAGATCATTTATACTTCTATGACTTCTTGTCAAATAACTAAGACACATATGTATACTCTGACCAATCTCAAGTTATTGATTTTCTGTGCACAGTAATTGGCAGTATAATTGTGCAAAGTAAAATCTAGGCTTCTTAATATACATTAGTGCATCTACATATGTACAAAAGCACACATTTTGTACTTAGATTATAAGTGGATCTTATAGCTTTCTAGCATTTTTATAGTGAACAAAAGTCCATTTGTATCATATCATCATTTTGGAAAACTAATCTTGTTTGAATTTACAAATTCCTTTTTGTAATCCTTCCTCTTGATTTTTATTCCATTAATTATTGAGTCATTTGACTTTATTTAGTCACCTTATTATCCAAGTACACTATATCCAAAGGACCTAGAATTCTTTACATACTAACAATATCTTTTGCCATGAGTGCCTCAATCTGTGACCTGACCAGTGATCTTGGAAGCATAAGGGATAAAAAAGAGAGCATCCTTGATTAAATCAATCATTTAATCAACAAGTATTAAGAGCTGTGAGGGAGATAAAAAAAACACAGAAGATAATTATCTCTGCTATCAAAGAGCTTACAGTCTTGTTAGAAATGTAATATGTGCAAGAGGCAATTAGAGAGTAAGACAGTATCTAATGAAGTGTTTAATCGGGGTGGGGGTGCAGCATCAGCTTCTATTCTTGTGAACTGAAGGGTTAGTCAAGATGGACTCTTAGATCCCTTTCAGAAGTATGATCTCTATAAAAGTGGCATGAGTAGACTACTATGAAGGTTAGGCCTTAAAGAAGTAATTTATCTCTTTGCCAACTGTGTTTATTTTTTCCATTTCACTCATATCTCTGAATATTGAAGAAGTCTTCTCTTTATAAGATCCTAAGAAGTGCAATTTAATTGATCATACTTCTTGCCCATAAATCTAAACTTTCTTTAGCCAACAAATGTTATCAACTAAAATAGAATAAGCCACTAAAAATACCAGTGCCTAAAATTTTTAAACTACTTTTGCAGAAAGTAGACATACACCTTTTCAATGAAAGCAAATATTCTAAAATACTAAAAACAATGACTGCTATGCATCCATGTATCAAACTCCACTTGTATACCTTAAATTTACTCAAAAAAACCCAGCAATGCCTGGGTGGGTTTGAAGCTCATCAGCGTTAGAAAACAAGAGGCTACTCATGTCATGCAGAGATAAAGCAGTTACTAAAATTATCATCTGAGACCACCCAGAAAGAAGTGTACACTGAAGGCAAGGCATACGACATGACTCCTTCAGTGGACCATTATGGAAATAATGGGGAATACAGAAACTGGTGTAGAGTAGCTGCTTCTAAATATTCTTGTGAGTTTTTAAAAGAAATGAATATTTAGAGTTATAAATTATCACATCAAAATGACCTCAGATGACCAGGATCATCCATGGACTTCCTAAAACAATCATCACTTTATCAACTCTAACTGAAATTGCCTAAATAGATGATGACCAAGTCTGACTCTGAGTGCTGAATTACAACATAGGTTATGCTCTGAACCTCTCCAAGATTCTTGTAAATTTGGGAGTGTTTATTGGGAAAGAGTGACCCCAAGATTAGAAGAATATTACAAGGATTCAGGTAATTGTGAGTATTCCACACCACAACCCAGCCACAAGGCCAGTCTTTGTCTGAATACCTGGCAAATGCCTCACCTGATGAAAAAAGTTTTTCTGAAATATTTTTCAAGGTCTCTGGACTTGAAAAATTGTGGCTGAATCTGATGGAGAGGGATAAGTAAGGTGGGGCAAAAGCAGAAGGTCAACTCTTGAAGGCCCCCTCCTACTTCTGGGTCATCAGTTTTTTAGCTCCTACCCCAGGTCTGTGTGTACTAATGTGGTCATTAGATAACTGCCCCTCCCCGTGCTCAGCAATGGATGATTACACATTTAGTGATGTGTTAGCCCCACTGTCAACAACTGACCCAGAAATTGTTTCTTTACTGAAGCACATCAAACCAATTTCTGGCACCAGGCATGTTAATTTATCTAGTAAATGTAGTTTTTCTGTTCCAAGAAACAGGACTCCAGAGGTAATTTGTTTTTATCTTTCAGTGATGGTAGTAAAACTCCACTGTATTACTTTATTATGTTATTTATCTGGTTTAATTTGTTCTGCAGGAACCTCACTCAATTCACCATTACATGGGATGTCATGTGGGCCCAATTTATTGAGGTCAGTATGCAGGACATAACTATGATCTACATGTGTAGGTAAGATACATGCATGCAAGAGGGTGAGAATTGCGCCCCACAGTAATTTAATGATGATTATAGAGATCCAATCGTGTGCAGCATGCAAGGTAATCACCTCTAAAGTTAAGGAAAACTTGCAAGCCATGTCAACTAACGTCAAAAAAAGTCATAATGCTTGTGGGTTCCTATAGACTGAGAGGCAACTTAAATCATACTTGTGAGTCTTTTTGTGACTCATTTACTGAGGATCCCTTAAGACTGCCAACTTCGGGCTGAGCCTCACAGAAAGAAAATACTCTCCAGCTGGTCTAGGTTTCTGTAGAAGTAGCTTTGTAACTTGGGCCCAGTGGATATAAAGGTTCTTAAAGATTAGAAAAACATTAGAATACTCTGACAATGCTGGGTAGCAGAATCACAGCCTAGGCCATTATAGGTCTGGAGTAAAGATTTCTGTGATAATTACTGTCTTGGCATGCTACTGGAATATTTTGACCATGATACACCAATAACCAAGTGTCATGGGCTACCTATCATAAAACAATGTTCTTATAAAAAAGCCATCAAGTTAGAAGTATGTAGCAATATTCCATCATCAAGTTGAAGTTGTTTTTGTAAGATCAATCTGGAGCACTTTTTAAAATCACAAATAAGATAATTGAGAAGGTGTCTTCTACTCACATTGTACCTATTTTTTCCCCATTGCCATCCTTTCCTTCATTTATACCTATGGCCTCATAGAGAATTCCCATAAAACCAATCTGCTGGTTTACAGATCATTGAGCATGATATGCTTTCCAGATAGAAGTGGATAATTTCAGCATTATGGCTGTGTTCAGAAGTGGGCTTGAAGTGCAACTCTTACTAGTAGGCAGAACCTTGAGCTACAGTTTTCTAGAAGAATACATAGGCAGAATAAGGACTCCTCACTGGCCAATGCTTTGACCAGGTGAACAGGTAGAAGACTGGTGACAAGAAAAGTGCAAGGGCATTTTTTTTTCTATTGGCAACTTTTTTTTTATATACTTTAAGTTTTAGGGTACATGTGCACAACATGCATTCTTAATTAGATTTCCGCTATAAATCATGTGCAGGGAAGAGACTGTCTTCATCCTAGGATTCTTCTGGTGTGCCAGCTAGTGTTACCATGCCTATGGAGGACTACACATCACTCCACATAGGCAAGTGTATTGTGTTACTCTGCTGTCTAAAAAACAGTGATATGCTAGGGGTTCTGACTGAGAAAAAAAGGGAATTTGGATTGCTGTAAAAGGAAGAAATTTGCTATATCCTGACTCTGACTTCATTGCCATTTACACAAATGACTATGGTTTGTATCCATGTTGTATATATTTATGCAGAAAAAAACCCATATGATAATATCCCCTCAAATAAAAGCATTTCACACATACCAAGATTGGCTATGACTCCCATCTTTCATTCAGTCCCTGTTTTCAAATGGTGTGGATATAGTTTTTTCTTCTGTGTGTGTTGTAGAGGAATGAGATACAAGAGGTGCAGCCTAGCAAATATGCAAAAAGCAACTTCAACTTAGTAAGCCTGTGGGTAGAAAGTGGATCCCTCCATCCTTGGCATTCTGGCCCTCTCCTGGCCCAACCTTCCTATATTAGGGTGACTGGAATCACTGCTCATCCTAAAAGTCACAGTCAGGGCCATGACACAAAATTCTCTCTGTTGATATTTAAGCCCAAACAGATAGAAATTCACTACCAGGTAGTCCCAAACCACAGTGGGGCCAGAATATATTTGGCTTGCACAATTGGATCACTAGCTAGCTTGCAGTACTGGCTCACTCCAGTGAATTCATTAATTTCACCTGGATCCACATGTCATGTGACTGGGTTTTTTTTGAGTTCCCCTCATTCCTCCTGTCTCCACCCCTTTTATATCATATATGATGATTGTTGTTAAATATATTATGTAGTCCATGGGTTTTAAGATAATAATAAAGGACTCTGATCAGTTAGAAAAGAATAAAATGATCAGAAATAAATGCAGTAATGGATAGGCTTTGTTTTCACCCTTGAGGGGGTAAGTGAATTTTTTTTTCCTATTCACCATAGTTTTATGATAGGTATGACAATGTTTTTCTCCTTGTTACTAAGATTACGTTTAATAAGATGTGTGTATACAGATATGAGGAGTCAAAAGGATGAACTATGTATCTCTCTTTTCTTGAAGAGGCCAAAGAGCTAAAAGCCATATTCCCAGGCTCCTTTCATGGTACACACTGGATATGACTAGGTTCTGCCATTCCAATGCAATCACATGAGACTGGAAGCCAAAGTGAGACAGATAGCATCCTTCTGAGATATCTTTTGTCTTTGCTGGAGACACTGTCAGAAAGGCCTTTGATTTCTCTTCTAAACGTGAGTGTTGTACTAGTGTCTAGTAAACTTGGTAGGTATTGAGAAGCAGGGCACAGGGAAGCCACTGGTAGGTGTATTAGGCTGTTATTGCATTCCTATAAATACCTGAAACTGGGTAGTTTATAAAGAAAAGAGGTTTAATTAGCTGATGTTTCTGCAGGATGTACAGGAAGCATAGTGGCTTCTGTTCCTGTGGAGGCCTCAGGAAACATGCTATCATGGTGGAAGGCAAAGGGGGAGCAAAGTGTCTCACATGGTGGGAGCAGGAGCAAGAGAGAGAGGAGGGAGGTGCTACACACTTTTAAACAACCAGATGTTGCCAGAACTCACCCACTATCATGAGAGCAGCACCAATGGGATGGTGCTAAACCACTCATGAAGGATCCACGCCCGTGATCCAATCACTTTCCACTAGGTCTCACTTCTAACACTGGGGATTACAATTCGACATAAGATTTGGGTGGGGACATATATCCAAAACATATCGGTGGAGTGAATTTTATTAGGCATTGGATCGTTCTGGAACAGGTAAAGTTAGCAGTTCACTTATTCAGTGAACTCAACAAATATTGATTGAGCACCTGCCATATGCCAGACACTCTTCAAGGTCCTTGGGATATATCAATGAACAAAACACATCATGATCTCTCCCCATGTGGGGCTTACATGCCAACAGTGGTTTCCTGGTCTGGTGGCTTATGCATTATGTCCCTAATTGGAGCAGCAACTATACATTATTGGCCAGGTTTTCCTGATTGTAGAAGAAATAGTAGTTCCCTTGTGGTCTGGCTCTGTAGTATGACTTTGGGAGTAATTTCTGAAAGCCCAAATGAGAGCCTTTTTCAGCCCTCCCAAAGATAAGTTAAACAGCACCCTGTTTTAAATTTCATTCTGCTTAAATTATTTAGAGATAATTATGTTGTCAGCAAAGGGACACTGACCAATGAAAAATATCTTCTTAAAGTACTCATTCATTTTCACTTCAACCACACTGAAAATCTGAGACATTCTTTAATGTCTGCCCAGCTGAAATGACACCTCTGGGTCTCTGACCTTTTCTTATTACCCACACAGTTAATTGCTACCTCCTCTGAGTGCTATAGAATTTGCCTCTTATAGGGCTTATCAAACTGGGTGACTTAGTCGACTCTCCTGCTCTCTTACTGTTGTGCACAGAAACACACAGGACCGGGACTTGGTCTTATTAACCTGTATGCCTCTGAGTCCTAACAGTAAAAAATTATGGTCACCAATATTTTACTTACTTACATATTAATAAATAAGTCACAAATTTCCTTATTTCAAAAGTATTTTCCCCTTGCATTTACACTCTTCGGTTCCCTATATCATTTACTGGTATATTTTAAAGCATTTTATGTGAAATTGTCATTGAATTTTAGGTTTAGGAATAATGTCAGAAATTAGATAGTACAAACTCTTTTTCCAGGTCAGGCATTTCAGGTCAGAATGATTTGGCTTCTTGTTTCAAGTTCAGTGTTTTTTGCTTTATTTTATATTTACTGCTTGACCTTGGATTAGTTTGTAATTTCAGTGAAAATATGTATTGTCTTTAAAATCTATCAGGGCTCCTCATGCTGTTCAGACGAGAGGGTAATTGACAACTGAAGCGCTTCCTTATACTTCCACCAAAAATGAATGTATGGAGACGTGTCATGCAAAAGTGGGGCATTCTCCATTCAGAGCAAGTGCTTTTGTCAACAAATAGGTTCATGGAGAGACACTAGATAAGCTGTCAAATATTTGATTCTGATTCCATAAATTATATATCAGTCTCTTCTGCATTATAACTTTCCTCTGTGAAGTACAAAATGATACTAAACTATGAATGTATGTGGTTTTATTTACAAAATTGGAGTGCAAACCAGTTAGGTCATCGATGTATTAAAAGAGTGTTTTTTGTACAGCTTTTTCCCTTCAGAACTTAACCTATTTTATTGCAAGTATATTGTTCCATCTCTCTCCCGGGGGACTGTGGACTCCATGAGAGCAAGCCTCATGTCTTCATGCTAGTAGATTCAATTCCTAAGAAAATGCTTGGCTGAGGGCTACAGGATTTATGTTTGCTCAGTGAATTTTTTTTAAACAGAAATAGGTCATCTGTAAGATAATAAGCCACAAACTTTCCCAAATTGAATGAAGTGAAACCAACTTATTTTATTTTCTTAGACTAAGAGTTTCTTTTGAATATTTTTTTGTAGAAATTGGTAGGAGCTTACCTCTTGTTCATGGATCATCCACTTAACTTTAGCAAGTTTCTGGAATCTTTATGATAATTCAAGGAAGAAGAAAGTTTTGTTTGCTCTACATATTTATTTTTTATTTATTTATTTATTTATTTATTTTTTTTACAAAAGCTGTTCAATTCTTCTTCCAAAATTGCTCCATACGACATAAAGTATTTAGAGCACAGGCAGGCATGTTAGCACTTTGAAATGACCCCAATTAACAAACTTGACAATTGCTTCCACAAATGTAGTCAAAAGTGGAAAAGGTCCATTTTTAAGTGGTACTTCTGAGAAGTGCGAACTCATAATGGAAAACATACTCACATAATCACTTATGAACGAATCATCTTGAAAATTAGTCCTACACAAGTTAGATATAAAACACTGTGGTTTTTACAGAGCACACACATGTGAACTCTAGAGTGTAATATGATTCAGCTCCATGTTGACAGCTGTGGTTGATGAGCAGGTGCTGTGGATGAAGACCAATGAATAAGAGATACAGTTGTTCAGGAGCCTCTGCATCAAATGAAGTTCAGACACAATGATTCCTATATACTTTAGAACCAAAAGAATGAACTGTAATGATATTTCCTGATCAAAATTCAAAGACATTGCAAACCAAAGTGACATAATGAAAGACAAATTTAGTACTTAGATATTTAGCTCACTTAATCTTTTTGCCATATTTCTCAAGTGAGTTGGAGAGTAGATAGTAGGCCATTTTTGGATGAATTTTATATATCCCAGGGAATAATACAACTTTTCATGTCTCAGACTAGCAAAAGCAAAATGAATAAGAATTTTTTTTCCTCTCTAGAACCTCACTGGGTTACAAATCTGTGTTGACCATAAATCAGAGCCTCCCTATCTTTTAATGCTGTCATTGGAGAACTCGGTTCTATAAGCAATTAAAGTGTTAACTTGGTTCATTAATGCAGGGAATATTCACGATTTTCCACCTTGGAAGAGACAGATTCTGTCCTCCCTTTAATAGAACTCTGCTGGAAATCAAACACAATTTTTATTCTGGGGAATGATTACTGTGTCTTGTTTAATTCTCCCTAACAAATGTCAGCACTAATGTATTACAGATTATTCAGTCAATTTGATGGTTCCAGGTGAAAGAAAGGAACACAAATCTCTTCTTTTAGTGTAAAAAGGGTCAGCCGGATGACTTCCCCTGCAGGAGCCGAGATGAGGCTTGACATGAATCAATCAAGAAGGCTCAATTTTACAGTTATAGTGCCTAATGCCTAAACATGAGCGTACTGGTGGAAATTAGCACCCGATTATGAGCATACATGATCTTCCCCTGGAAGACAATAATATTGGCATTAAGCTTCTCAAGAGGGAAGATGCTGCTGGTTTTTAATATGTCTTAAATTATGTCAGGAAAAACACTGGAACATCACACAAAAGCCACAGTCAGTGTCTATTGCTATCTCATAAAGCTGGAGATCTTTACAACAATATTGACACAAGAGCAGGCAAGCAAATGTCAGCCAATATAACATATGAAATACTTAACGTAACCAATTTTCACCTGTCAATCAGCAGGGAATAATGACTGATGCAAGGAATCAATACGCCACAATTGAATTCCAGCTCACAAACTTGTTTCGTTCTGTGCTATAAAAGACTGTCAAATGTCACACCCCAAGAGATGCAACAGGATTCCAAAGATTTATTTATTTCAAGCTCTGAAGTCTATTAGCAATAGTGCTCCTTTGCTATTGGAAATAGAGCTTCAATGACATTAAATTTTCAGAAATGACAACTCTCTTTTCTGACAAATTAATGATAGAACGTCCTTAGTCCCATATTTATTTATTTTGCAAACATTAAGTACAATTATATTCAACCAATTCTCGAGATTTCAGAAAGCAAATATTTGACAGAATTTGTCAAGTAAACTGCTCACAGTGCCAAATATTTCGTTAAACAAGTTGTCCTATACATGGTAAATAAATGAAAATTGCATGTAACAAATCTTAAGCTTATGTTAAATCCAAACCTTAACATTATGCAGATGCTTGATAGCAAATTAGATTTATAAAATTTTGTCCTCTTCACATAATAATACGCAACACTACTCTTTGTACAGTATGATGAACTTTTAGAACAAAATGGATCTGTAAAAACGTTTGTGCTATCTAGAACAAAAGAAACTTATTTTATCTTTTCTCATGGCAGCATAATTTTTAGGATTGATAGTCTGAACCTATTTTTAAATAAAACAATTTGATATTGATTAAACATTTTTAAAAATGTAACTTTGATGTGCTGTAGTAACTAGAGATGTTTTTTATAAATCAAGAGAAAAATAAAACATAGAAAATTGCTATAAACCCTTCCCTAGATATTTCTACAGGAAAATATACTGTCAACTCAATTATTTTATATTTTGCTTAATATTCTTCCTAACCAAATAGGGAAAACATAAAATATTAGTTTTATGAAATAAAGAAAAATATCTCAATGGTGATTTCCTAAAAAAAAAAAAAATTCCTTTGTTTCCCCCTTTTGGGCCAAGAAAAATACAAGTTACATACTTTTCTATGCAAAACAAAGTAACAAGCTAATTATCCCTCAAGATCTAATTGAGTGTGGCAGAAATATTGGAGCTTTGCACCATCCCCAATGGCTGTAATGGCAGAACGATGTCAAAGCCTACTATGTTTTTGGCAAGAGCTCACAGAGGCATCTGCTGAATGAGCACAGTTATCATCAACATTATTATTTGCCCAAGCCCTTGCCTGTAGCCCTTTACAGGACTTTTTTTTAATATGGATTTTTACACAGTGCCAATATAGTGGGACCATATATTAGAGAGACTCTGCACTTTACCTGGGCTGATTTCTTCTGTAGGTTTTATGATCTCATGACAACTCCTGTTACAAGGTTGATCTGACCTAATAAGAAATGTTTAAAAGGAAATTTTTTTCTTTAGATGTATTTGGCATAGAAATAGATAAAACCCAAATAAAGCATGTTGAGAATCTGTTGTTTATGAACAGACCAGCAAAACGTCTGCATTGTTTATAAATGGGAATAAAATACTGTTAAGGCAGAGTTACCTCATGTGGTTGAGTGGACTGATTAAACCCAGAGAGAGCATCTTGGCAGTGCTGCTGTATCCTTCATTTGTTCTTCACTGAAAATGATAACATCGAACTGTAAAAGTTAAGATTGAAAAGCCACTAGTGTGTTGTCTAATTTCAACTGCAGAAGCTGCTGTGCTCTCTTGGTGACTTTATGAGGGAATAAGATTATAGGTCGCAAGAGCTTCTTTATTTCCCACCTGTAGCTTCTAACAACATTTTATTAAGGATTTTCCTATCTTCTTTCTCTGACCTACAGGGGTTGAAATCCTAACAGCTATAACAAGACCCTGACCAAAATGGTATTAACATAGACTAGTGATTCTGAAATGAAGTATTCTTTTATCAGAGCTCCATTTATGAATGGTTACTAATGTTTTTAGAGTGTGAATAAGATAAACATGATATATCATTATGTAAATAGAAAAGCAGCCCTTAACATGGTTAAACACTTAGAGCTTCATGTTTGCTTCACAGAAAATCACACCAACCTATTGTTATTTGAAGATTTAATGTTAATTTGTAAAACAAACATGTTGGAGAGTAATTCACAAATAACTTCTTGACATGCAGTTACTTCCTGACTTGTTTAGATGGTTTCTTAATTGCTCATTTATAGACTATATCTCCAAAATAAAAACTTGGGGGAAGGGAGATTTTAAATGCATATATAGTATACATACTTATTGGACAATATAAATTCTCATTGTTGAGGATCACTTTTGAGATGAGATTCATGATTTCTTGCCTGAATAGTTTTGAAGGGTAGTGAGATAATATTTGCAGTCCACTTGGAAAGCAAGGAAAGGTGCTAAGTACCCAGTATGTCATTGGTCTTCATTCAGAGATATACTCTAAGTATATCTTAGAATAAAGGTAAATGCAGTAGAATAAAAACACCCTATTCACCCCTCTAGTAGACTAAAAATTAGAGGCAACACATCGGTCACTGGAATGTGTCTGAAGTTTATACTTTCCTAATATTGCTTTATGCTGAAGCCAATACTGCTTCTATTTTTTTTAAAGAAACTAAATGTATTTTCCAGACATTATGTCATTAATCCTAAATCAGCCTAGCTCCAGATACTGTCAAGTCAGACCATCTTGAGGATTTTGTGGCTCTTAAGTTCAATTCCTAAAATTGTTAACTCAAACTTTTACTACTATTAGGCAAATCGATTATAGAGTCCACTTTATTTTTTCCTGTAAAATTTGTAAAAAGTAAAGTTTCATATGTTCTGTAGTCAGAGGATTTGAGAACACTTTGACAATAATTGCATTTATATGAAACAGATAAAAAAAGAGTCAATCTTGTGCTTTCAGCTGTCTTAATGACAAAATTGGATTGTCTGCAGAGCTGATTCAATCAACAGTGGAGAAATCAGTTGATATGGCAAAGAGGGATTGGAGAAAAGACCAGCAGATTCAGTACAGTCATGGCCTGTTTACCTAAGAACCAAATAGCCAATGTGTTGTTTCCTTTGAGAGGTATTTCTCTACTTTGCATTTGTCCTTATGAATATGAATGAACATGTAATAGAGAAACACACTCCTATTAGAGGCTGTCTTTGATTATTAAAATGAATCAGATATTGGGCAGCCACCAAAATTGTGTCTAACTTTTTTTTATAATTTGGATTATGTGTTGGTAGAAAGATTCATTAGATGAGAATGGAAAGAAATAATGAACATTAGAAACATATTTCAAAGGCACATATTTAACTAAAAAGAGGCAAAACTAAGTTGATGTTATTTTAGATGCATTCTTTAACCTTCCTTAATCTGTCATATTCTTGTTTTATATAATATAGTCCTTACAAGGAAATCCCAATGTTCTAGTCTGTGTTATCTTAAGAGCTTAACAGGATGGAAATACAAATGTCAAACTGGATAGACTCCGTGTTATAAGTTGAATTATGTCCCCCAAAAGATGCTGAAGTTGTAACTCCCAGTTCTTGTGAATGTGACCTTATTTGGAAATAGGGTTTTTGCAGATTATCAATTTAAAATAAGGTCATTAGGGTGGGATCTAATCAAAATGATTGTGACCTTGTAAAAAGGGGCCATTTGGACACAGGGTGAATGCCATATGAATATGAAGAGATCAGGGTGATCTCTTTTCCCTGGTGTCTACAAGCCAAAGAAAGCCAAAGATTCCCAGAAGCTAGAAGAGAGGCATGAAACAGTTTCTCCCTCCCAGCCTGTATTAGTCTGTTCTCTCACTGCTGTAAAGAACTACCTGAGACTGGGTAATTTATAAAGAAAAGAGGTTTAATTGGCTCATGGTTCCACAGGCTATACAGGAAGCGTGGCTGGAAAGGCCTCAGGAAACTTCT